>NC_000007.14:144155349-144306864 GCF_000001405.40 Homo sapiens | reverse complement strand
TTTCTTGATTGCTGAACACATGGAGGTTCCTGGAGGGTGGTGTGCCCAGAGAGGTCATGGAAGCTCCATGCCCCTTCTCCAATACCTCACCAGATGCATCTCTCTCATCTGGATGTTCATCTCTATCCTTTGTAATATCCTTCGTAGTAAATGGTCAAACTTAAGTAAAGTGTTTCCCTGAGTTCTGTGAGCCACTTTAGCAAATTAATTGAGCCTAAGGCGGGGGGTCATGAGAGTCCCAATGTATAGCCAGTTGAACAGAAGCACAGGTCGCAACCTGAGGCTTGCAATTACCATCTGTAGTGTTGGGTGGGGGGAACAGGCTTGTGGGATCTGACACTGTCTCCCAGTAGATAGTGTCAGAATTGAATTGATTTTTAGGGCATGCAGTCGGTGTCCATTGCAGATTGCTAGGTGTGTGGGGAAAAACCTCAACGTATCTGTTGTTAGAAGTAAATTGTTGAGTGACTGTGTGAGTATAAGCAAAGGAGTAGGAAAAGCACCTTTGGTTTTTTCAATATTTTAGAGAATCCAGATGTCTTGGCTCTGAGCCAGTCATCTGAGGACCAAACCAGGCCGTGCCTAGTAGTGAACCTCTTCTCTTGACCCAACAAGATTACAAAAATTAAAAACAAACGAATAAACAGAGACAGGTCAAAAAAAGTAAACAAAAACCAAAACAGCAAGTCAAATGAAAGCAGGGCTCTTAATCAAAGTTCATCAAGAAGGTAAGAAAAATTGATATGGTCTGGGAAAACATCAGAGCTGTGAGACAGCATTCCAACTCTTGTTTTTCTCCCACTTTTTCTTTTTTCTTTTCTTTTCTTCCCCCCACCCCCCACCCCCCCCATTGAGACAGGGTCTTTCTCTGTCACCTAGGGTGGAATACAGTGGTGCAACCATGGCTCACTGCGAACTCAACCTCCTAGGCTCAAGCAAGTTTCCCATCTCAGCTTTTCAAGCAGCTGGAACCATAGGCATGTGCCACCTCACCTGGCTAATTTTTTTATGTTTGAAGTTTTTTGAAGAGACAGAGTTTCACTATGTTGCCCAGGCTGGTCTCAAACTCCTGGGCTCAAGCAATCCTCCTGCCTCAGCCTCCCAAAGTGCTGAACTACAGATGTAAGCCATTGTGCCTGGCCTTCACTTTTTCTTAGGAACCATAGATTTAACAATGAATCTCTATATGATTAATATTCAAAGTGTGGTCTATGGATCCGCAGCATCAGCAAGGTATGAGAGATGATAAGAAATGCAAATCTCTGCCTATTTCATTTAGACCTGTTGAATCAGAACCTGTATTTTTGCAAGATCCCTGAATGATTAATATACACATTGACATGTGAGAAGCACTGGTCTACATTACCTAGCAAAGAGTAAAGAATGGTCCTACAGGTCAGTGATGGCAGTGCTCACTCTACATACCAAGGACACCATGGGGGCCAATTTAAGGTAGTGCATGCACTGACTTCCACTCCCAGGGTGTCATCCGTGTCATTTTCAGTAATTACAGTGCCTTATGCTCTACTCTTTGGCAAGACAGAGGAGGGGAACACTCTCTCCATGGCTACTGTGCCAGCACAATCACGTTGTGTCATACTATAACCATAGGGTTTGGCAATTTGGGACAGTCTTTTTGAAAGACCTATAACCTTTGTTCTATATGATAGGAACAAATATATATCATCCTAGTTTTCTTTTATATTAGTCTCGAAATATCCTCTCTGAATGTGTTTACAATTTCTCTGTGGCCACTGACAGATGAGATGTAGTTTATTAATATTCATCTCAGAAGAAACTTTTGCAAAAACGGAATGTATCTGGAGCTAAACATGATTAAATTGACTGACACTGTATTTAATTACATATTTTATGGAGATCCTTTTTTAAAAATATAGAAGTGTGGACTACATGATTACTCATTTATTTATTTAGTCAACATTTATTGAGTAACTACTATGAAACTGGCCTGGTCTAGCCACTGAAGATACAAATATCAATAGGCCCTTTCCAAAAGAATGGTTCTCAGTTAATGTAGAGTAGATTGACTGGACTACAGTTTTATTTCTACCACTTGATATTTCGTTGACATCGAGTAAATTAATTAATTCTCTAAACCTCAATTTCCCCTCTATAAATGAGGATATTATTAGTACTTAATTCACAGTGTTGATGTGAGGATTATATCAAAAACATTTAACATATTGTCTCGTACACAAGTGCTAAATAATTTTTAAGCTACAATTACTTTCTACTATTCTGTGTTATTCAGATAAAATGATTTTTATTTTTATTTTTATTTTATTTTATTTTATTTTATTTTTTTCTGAGATGGAATCTTGCTCTGTTGCCCAGGCTGGAGTGCAGTGGCGTGATCTTGGCTCACTGCAAACCCCGCTTTCCAGGTTCAAGCAATTCTTCTGCCTCAGCCTCCCAAGTAGCTGGAATTACAGGTACATGCCACCATGCCCGGCTAATTTTTTTGTATTCTTAGTAGAGACGGGGTTTCTCCATGTTGGTCAGGCTGGTCTTGAACTCTTGACCTCGTGATCCGCCCGCCTTGGCCTCCCAAAGTGCTGGGATTACAGGCATGAGACACCACGCCAAGCCCAAGGATTTTTAAAATACAGAAATCAGAATATAGTTTAACACTGACAATTGTGTCTAAGTACTCAGCAGATAGTTAAAGGTGCATGAATTGGTGCAGCCAGTGCTTAGTGAGTGCCTACTAGGTGCTAGGCAATGTGCTCATGTTACTGATAAATGAATGAATGGATTCCAATTCCTGCTGTTGCGGAGCTCCCCATCTTAGATGTGAAATTTGATACCTACCTGAGCAATGTTCTCAGGTAAACTTTCAGGTAAATACCACCTGAAAGATTATAACCATTTTAAATATCAATAATGAAACTGAATTCCTTTTTCTTGGGGCTGTTTTTAGATAAAATGCTATAAAACATCCATTTTAGTTCTCATCAATTGGTAAGGCACTGCTGTAACACTGCATTGTCGGTCTTCTCGTTCAGTGTTGTCTGTTTCACTCTCCAGCTCAACCCCAGAGTCCTCACGGCCATGCATCCCTGACCCTTGGAGTCACAGTTCTTTCTTGCGACCACTCCCCCACTTTTTTCACATCTCTGTTTAGAGTCAAGCTGCTTCCTTTAGAAGATGTATACCCCTTTCTATCTAAAGCTGAATATCCATAGTTTGGTCTTAATTATGTGTTTTCTTTCACTGTCACGAGTTCTTTGATCTTTATTCACAGATATGCTCTATAGAGGCCGTGCTGTGTAGTGGTTATGGCTATAGGGTCAGGGATCAGATTGTCTTAGTTCAATCCTGGACTGGGTAATTGTTAGCTGTGAGGTACCGGGCCAGTTGCTTAATCTCTCCGTGCCTCAGTTTCTTTATATGTAAGGTAGGATATTGATTATCTTCTGACTCAAAGTGTTATTTTGAGGATTAATTGAGGTAATACATGTAAAATTCTTAGAGCAGTGACTGGCACAAAGTAAATAAGCTCTGTGTGTTTGTGTGTGTGTGTGTGTGTGTGTGAGAGAGAGAGAGACAGAGAGAAAGAAAGAAAGAGAGAGAGAGAGACTGACTATGGGTGTGTTGGTTCTGGGTCTTAGCTGAACTAAATAGCCAGTCTCAGTGAGAACTACCTTTATTCTCATCTTCTTCATGTTCTGCATTTGTCTAGAAGTCCAGTGCTTTCATGTGACTCAGCACATAAGAGTCACCATCCAGGACAACCAGCCTCTCATACATGATCTCTGGTCCTCCACGCCTTAGAGAGAACAGATCAGCTCCCTGTGGCATACATCAGACTATAAAGAAAGCTTCCTTCTTTTAATAGTTCTGCCTTGGGATACATTTACCTTATCCTTTATTTGATAACATAGATATTAAAATTCTACATTGATGTGCTATGTACAGAGGCTGGGAGCCAGACTGTCTAGGGATAAGTCTGACACTTGCTGCTTTCTGGTTTGTGCATACATAAAATAGTGACAATAGGACCTTCTTCCTGGATTTGTTATGACTAAATGAAATGGCCCATGTAAAGTGCTATTAATATGTAGCATATGCCATTGAGTGGTGAGTCAAAATGTTAGCTATTATTACAAAAACTCATTTGTTTTTACATTTAATAAGTTCTGCCTGGGTATCTTCACCCACAGGGAATAATAATGAGTTGGGTGGAGTACTTGTTAACCCCTAAGTGAAAGGCATACACTTATTTTGCTGAAAAAGTATTAACATGCTCTCTTGTAAAATTGAGAAAGACTCTGGAAGCAAGTGGCATCCTAATCTTAGGGAAGGTTAGAAAGTAGAATTTATAGGTAACACTCTGGGAAGCCACCTAAAATGCATGGGGACTCATCTCTAACCATTAGATTTGTAGTGAAGATTTGTTAAAGAAAATTAAAATGGAAACCAGACATGGAGAATCACTTAGATGATTCAGGCTGGGTTAGGTCACTTATGGAATCACTTTTCCTGGAGCAGGGAAAGCCAGTTAGGCCTCATAAGTGACCTAACCCAGACTGATTTGCAAACACAAGTGAAAATTAACTTGAACTATTTCTTATAAATACTTGTATTAAAGCAAAATGAAATTTAAGATTAACCACTCAGAAGCTGCCAACTAAGTTATATAACTAAAGACTTTCCAGCAGTATAGGCCAACTAAGGCAATTGTATAAAGGTAACCAATCAAATATTTTCTTTGCTTTAGTTCCGTGGTTGTCCTGTAAAAGCCCTCCCCTTGCATTCCTTTAGTGGAGCCCATGAACCACTTATAGTTTGGAGCTGTCTGATTCATGAATTGCTATTTGCTCAAGTAAACTCTTTAAAATTTTATTGTGCCTCAGTTTACCTTTTAACAGGAAAATAGATTGGCTCAGCAAAAATTTCTTCACCACCATGGTTGAAGAGCTAGCTACATACCTACACTGTCTGGTGAAATTTCCTTTTTCAGGGGTAAGACATTCTAATGAGGGAAATGATCCACAACTGGACTAACCAAGGTGGAAGAGCTGATGAAAAGACACTGGAGAATCACGCTTAGAGACAGATGTGCATATGTACAATACACAGCTCAACACTCAATGTTTTCTGAAGAAACCATAAACAACCCAAATAGTTTTCTTGGATACTCATTTTCAGCCTTTTCAACAGGGAATGCCCAGTTTTGCCTCTTTGCCAGCTACTAGCTACTGAGTTTACCCTGAACTTTGTAAACACTGTTCACTGTTCCCACACGGTCTGTAGTGTTCTTTTGCTTCTCTTCTCTCTTTTCCCTTATATATGTTCTTTTTGTTTTCCTTTTTTGTTTTCTTTTTTGAGACAGTGTCTCCCCGTCTCCCAGGCTGGAGTGCAGTGGCGCAATCTTGGCTCACTGCAACCTCTGCCTCCCAGGTTCAAGCAATTCTCATTCCTCAGTCACCAGAATAGCTGGGATCACAGGCATGCACCACCACGCCCAGCTAATTTTTGTATTTTTAGTAGAGATGCAGTTTTGCCACATTGTCCAGGCTGGTCTCAAACTCCTGGCCTCAAGTGTTCCACCCACCTCAGCCTCCCAAAGTGCTGGGGTTACGGACATGAGCCACTGTGCCTGACTTATCTCTTCTTTTAAGTTTGTTCCTTCACTCAGCCTACTAGTTAACTCCCGTACATGAGTTAATAAGTTTTACACAAAATTTCTCAGCGCATGCAACACAACTAACTAAATCCCTCTATTTAACAGGGAAAGTGCAATTGTGTGAGAATGGACAAGTGTGCTGCTGGGTTTTGGGAATCACTTCTTTGGCTGAACCTTTTTATTTTCTTTTAAATCTTATGACATATGCCGTTAGTGAGTTTATATAGTTCGGTGTATTAGTCTGCTTTCACACTGCCATAAAGAACCACCCGGGACTGGATAATTTCTAAAGAAAAGAAGTTTAATTGGCTCACAGTTCCACATGGCTGGAGAGGCCTCAGGAAAGGTACAATCATGGCGGAAGCCACAGGGGAAGCAAGGCACGTCTTACCATGGCACAGCAGGAGAGAGAGAGCAAAGGGAGAAGTGCTGCACTTTTAAACCATCAGATTTCGTGAGAACTCGTTCACTATCAACAGAACAGCAAGGGGGAAATCCCTCCCCATGATCCAATCACCTCCCACCAGGTCCCTCCCCTGACATGCGGGGATTACAATTTGACATGAGATTTGGGTGGGGACACAGAGCCAAACTATATCATTTGGTTAAAGAAGTAAGTGGCCTGTATTTAACTTTTGGGACTGGGAAAATGAATTAAAATAATTCTTTATTTTACAGATATTAAAGTAATTGTGAAATAAAAGAAAAAATTGTCTGATAAAACCACATCTCATAGAAACCCAATGAATGCAACACATCTAAAATTTTATCTGCAAAAAACGAGAGAAGACTTGCCCTTCTGTCAGTAAAGCACAGATAAAGAGAAGTAAACTTTTCTGGATTGAGGCAATAATTGGGCATCAAGAGTCCACGTGACAACTGAGGCTGGCAGTTCAAATGTCACACCTCTTAGGAATGACTTTCCTTGCACAGTGCTCTCCTCAGGGCACCCTTGACCTCTACATTCCTCAGGTTGTAAATCAGGGGGTTTAGCATCGGGTTGAAAGAACTGTAAAATAGAAAAAGGACCTTCTGCTGCTCCTCAGGATGGCGGGACTTAGGGGCCATGTACATGACGATGGCGCTGCCAAAGAAGAGTCCCACTACGCAGAGGTGGGAGGAGCAGGTGGAGAAGGCCTTTCTGCGGCCCTCCCCAGACTGGATCCTCAGGATGGCCGCCAGGATGTGTGAGTAGGAGACCAGCACCAGGCAGAGTGGTCCCACCAGGATGAACATGCAGGCTGCAAAGATGACCACCTGGTTGAGCCAGGTATCAGCACAGGCCAGCCTGAGGACAGACAGGATTTCACAGAAGAAGTGGTTGATTTCACGAGGCCCACAAAAGGGCAGTCTTAGGATGAGGCTCACATGGACCATAGCCAGGAGGGAGCCACATGTCCAGGAAGTGATGGCCAGAGTGATGCAGACTTTCCAGGTCATGATGATGAAATATCGGAGAGGGTGGCAGATGGCCACGTACCGATCGTAGGACATCAGCACCAACAGGAGGCATTCAGTATGTGCAAAACTCAAAAAGAGAAAGGTCTATGTCATGCAGCCAGCAAAGGAGATGGGCTTGGCTGGATGCAGGAGGTTCACCAGCATCTGGGGCACTGTGTTGCAGGCATAGGCGATGTTGACGACGGCCAGGTGTGAGAGGAAGAAGTACATGGGGGTGTGGAGTCTGGAGTCCAGTGAGATGAGCCCCAGGATGGTCCCATTCCCCAGCAGGGTGAAGACATAGAACAGGGAGAAGAGCCCAAAGAGGAGCATCTGAATCCTTGGGCCCAGGAGAAATCCCAGTAGGAGGAACTCTGTGACCATTGTCTGATTTTTCACCATTTCACTACTAAAAAACAAACAAAGAAACAAACAAAAAACAAGCAGCTGTGTGACACGCTTTTTTTTAAAGTCTATTTTATTTATTGTTTTATAAATTTTTAGTTTGTGGAAAATTGTTAGTAAATGTCTTTAAGAACTCATTCAGTTATACATAAGTAAAGTTTTACTTGAAAACTTGCTGTTAATTCAAGTCCTTCATATTTGTAACAATCACTATACCTGAAATCCCAAATGCAAGAAATTGTTTTTCAAATAGAAAAAGTGTAGCTGACTTCAGCAACAAGAATTGCAATATACTATATAAGTAACCAACGGAAGGAAATTATTGACAAATCAATAATTCAATTTGGCACTTGACAAATGGCAGCATCAATGAATTAGCAGTAAGATGCTTAGCCTGTGAGTTGGTGGTGTGCTGAATTGATGAATTTGTTTTTTTGACCTTGGATCTTGGATCACAGTTTCCTTAATGAACTTCAACATGGTTTTTGGTGCAAACATTTGTCAATGCCATTGCAAGAACAAAATAACTTGAGTCTTATCTACTTTAGTGAGATTAAAGTGAGGAAAGGCACTGTTTTTGGCCAGTCCCTAGTTTAATTTTTGTCAGTACTAACTGGGATATAAAGGTGTGTTTCCCGAGGATATAAGAGACAGACTTGCATTCTGAGAAATAAATTTGTGAAACCCACATGTAACTGATGAGAATAACAATCTAGAGGTGAGAAACACGACACTTTCAGGAAACATTGAGTGGAGAGTTTGAGGAGCCTCCAGAAGGCCACTGCGGGTGCTTTGATGAAATCTCTGGGAGGCACAGCAGAAGAATGTGATTCATTCAGTGAGCCCAAGTGTAGTCGGTTGTATGGCGTGCCTGTCTGGAGGAAGACTGTAGGAAAAAGAAGGCAGGTGACCAATATGGAGTGTAGTCATCAGGCCAGAGGGGCAGCATTTGGCAATGCATCCTTAATGACATTCAGGGTAAGGAAAAAGGGGAACCAGCTGCACCAGGATCCTAGCCATCTGGTGATTCTATGTCTACAGTCTGGATAGATGGTTTGGGTAAATAGCCCTAGCTAGTAAAATCTCTAATTAGCCCCTCTTGCTCTGATTTCATATTCATCAATCAACTGTTAGGTAACAATTTATCTTCTTGAGCAGTTATTTCTACAAAGAAGAAATGTGTTGAGTACTAAACTTCTTGACTCCTTTTGCAGTCACATTTTCAAGTTTAAATAAATGAACATTTAGGTATCCTGGCTTATGCATTTTCCTCTTTTGCTTTTGGGTTGTATGATGCAGTTCCTGAACAAAATTCCCAAAGCTGAATCTAAAATGTGAGGACCAGACTCTGGGTCAAGGAAACCTCATTGAAGCAAGAACTGGGGAAAGAGACAGATTCCTTTCTAACAGCAACAGATGAGATATCTATTTTCTTATAAGCATTATTGATAGGTGATCAAGTTACCTTGACACAAAAATAATCTAAATAACAAATTAAAAATTCCTCACTTGTGACCAGGACTTATTAAATTTTAGGTTGATAGTAAAAATTTCTCAGTAGGTGCCGTCATATGCACCTGTAGTTCCAGCTACTTGGGAGGCTGAAAGCAGGAGGATAGCTTGAGCCCAGGAGTTCCAGGACAGCCTGGATAACATGGCAAGCCCTCATCTCATAAAATAACATAAAATAAAAAATTTCTGTGTTTATCAAACTTTCTAAATTTATTTTTTAAGCTCATAAGGCATAGAAAAATATTTGACTGTGAAAGATGTATTCAAACCCACCCACTTATAAAATAATAATTTCCTTTCTCAATTTTTCATTTCCCTCAAAAGGAAGACATAAAGGAAAAAAGAAACACAGTAAAAGCCATGATTTTTTGAAGCCAACTGAAAGACAGGTGTAAAAGAAGGAAAATAAGGTACCTCATAGTCTGAGTATTCTTTCAGAACAGTAGTCCTGTTTGATTCAGCCTTGATTTCTTTTAAAGAAATGGAGAGGGCATGTTCATTTTTATATCCCTTTAATTGTGTATGTTAATACACATTTTCAAATGACATATAAATATAAGCAAATGAATTAATAACTAAGTATTGATGTCCTTATATTAGATCTGGTTTCTTTTACGGTATAGTCAAGTATAATTATGCCAAATTCAGCCCCTTCTTCCCAAAGGGAATAAAATGCTACAATTCAGGAGAATTTCATCCCTAATGATCTGAATTAAAATGAAATTTTAAAAATGTGTCAAGAACAACGGGAAGATTCATAAAGTGTTTAAACACTTGAATTTTGAATCACTTCTCTTTTATCTATTTTTTTTCTTATTTTATTTGATACCTATGTGACATACTTATTGTTAATTAAAGACAATCAAGAGGAAACCAAACAGAGTAAATTTCTAGGGGGTTGGAAGGAGTGGACTGGGGGATTTTGCTCTACCTTGACACACGTTGTAATTCCAAATGTACCTTTCAGGCATAGAGATGTACATTAATTTATATGTGTACAATTTCAGAATTTAAAAAATGACAGATTATCTGGCTAATACATGGTAAGGAAACTAGAATTTTAAAGTAAATATCTAAGAAGGCATTTGTTGCTGTATATATAAGCAAAACAGCGTAACTTTATGGAACCTGCATTTTAAAAAGCAAATCTCAAAATTTAATGATCTGTCAGGTTCTTTTTTAAAATCTTGGGCATGGGTAAAGCAGAATCGCTGAAGTGATTACCTGTAGTTAATCTGTAGCTCAGCTGAGCTGCAGGGCTGTTTACTTGTAAGTAACAAGTGAGAAATGAAAAGTAAGTTATCTCATTGCTTACATAGTTATGAGCCAAGACTTTGCAAAGTTGTCTTATGGAGTCAGAGTTGATAACGTAAGTACGTTTTCTGGATATAAGAACTATCGTGGACCATGAAGAACTGAGTGTCAGTTTCATGTAACGACCGTCTATTCAATAATCTGCTAGAGGTTGATAACAATTGATCCTACTCTTGAGTGCTTCCTGTGAACTGGGCACTGGAGGAACACAGTGTAGCAAGTTGATGGTTCTGAGCTTGTGAAGATTTCATTGTGAAGATGTGCCTCGGGAGGAAAAGCAGAAATAAATAAAAAGGTACACATTAAACAAAAATCCTATAAAAAGAAAATTTAAAGTATTATTAATTATTACATCGTTTTCTCACTTTGCTCACTCGGTATAAATCAAGGACCCTCTCATACCTGGGAATGAGTTTTGTATTCCAGCCTAGAAGTAGAGCCAGTCCCAGTTTGAACTTTTTGCCTTTCTGTACTCCCAGTTCTTACCCTTTTGCTGAGCCTAGGACACATGCAAGGCCTGCCCTTCTTAATCCAGATTTTTGAGTCTTAATCCCAATTTTTCCTATAGTTTCCCATACACTCCATGGCAGCTTAGAGTAGGCTGAAAACTGCTGAACTGTTTAAGACTTAATCCTTCAGAGTAACATGGCAGAAGTAGCACACTTTTTTAACATAAAGCTGTTCAGGACTCTATTACAGAAGAGGCTATACTTCCTTAATTACATTCTATTCTACAGCCACCTCAAAATAACTAGTGAACACGTTCAACCAGGATCATTGGCAACAGCCAATGGGCACAGTGATCTGGAAATGGTCTAGCCAAGCTGTTTGGGCTGTAGACCATGGCATTCCTAAGAGCTAAATAGGCAAGGAGTCCATTAATATTTCACTTGACTTATGTCACCATGGAAACCCCTGGAGTAGTGAATGGCTTTGGGGAGTGGTCAGATTCAACCAAAAATAACAGAAATCTCTGTCCCCCAGGTAAAGGATTCCTACTTTGTGTGTGTCTGTGTGTGCACACAGGCACACTCGAGAGACTTTTGGCATTCTTTGAAGTCACTGGAGGGGCACAGAGATAAACCCACTCAGCCTTGGCCTCCAAGACTAACGAACACGTTTCCCTGAAAGAATAAAAAAAAAATACAGGCATAAGAAAACACACAAACATGGGCTTAGAGATTTAAATACACACACACACACACACACACACACAGGCCCTAGAAGGAACATACACCCTGAGATATGCACTCATTCTAAAATAAACTCGGGAATACAGAAGGACACGGGCATGTCCTTTCAGAGAGGCACACTTCTAGGCCCTAAGTAGGAGAAGGAAGAGGGGAGAGGAAGAGGCAGGGAGAGGGACAGGGAGGGGGGAGGAGGGAGGGAGAGAGAGAGAGAAACGAAGAAGGGGGCGGAGGAGGAGATGGAGGAGACACTCTTTATTCTATAGGAGGAGACATCACGGAAGAGAAATCAACACTGAGGCCTTGGCCGGGCGCGGTGGCTCACGCCTGTAATCCCAGCACTTTGGGAGGCCGAGGCGGGTGCATCACCTGAGGTCAGGAGTTTCCAGACCAGCCTGGCCAACATGGCGAAACCCGGCCTCTACTAAAAAATACAAAAATTAGCCGGGCATGGTGGCGCGGACCTGTAATCCCAGCTACTCGGGAGGCTGAGGCAGGAGAATCTCTTGAACCCGGAGACGGAGGTTGCAGTGAGCCGAGATCGCGCCATTGCACTCCAGCCTGGGCAACAGGGCGAGACTCCGTCTCAGAAAAAACAACAACAACAACAACAACGAACAAACCAAAAACCAATGAGGCCTGAAGATAAAGACACATGTACAACCACGGATGTCAGACTTCCAGAGGCACGGCCAAGGCAAAAGACAAACACATACAGACTGCAGCAGGCAGACAGGCCGGTTCCAGAGTCAGGCTCCGGTGAAGCTCCGAAGAAACAAACACGCAGGGAGATTTCGGAGGCGTCCGAGGACACCGTGGGGCCCGGCTGGCTCCCTCTGTCTCTGTGCGCGCCCCTTCCCCGGGTCACCCCGCCTGCGCCCGACCTGCGCCCGCGCACCGCGCCCTCGGGGCTCCCTGGGACAGCCCGCGGCCTGGCCCGTGCGCCCGGGCTCCCCTCCCCGCCGGCCCGGCACTTCCCAGCTCTGACGCGGGAGCTTCTTTCACACCAATGGGGCTCGCGCGCGGAGGGGCCCTGCCCCTCCTCCGGGAAGGTGTGTCCCTGTTTCCTCACCTGAAACTTCCTAGGAGAACCCGATCCCTCCCTCCCGTCGGGCGGCCAGGGGCGGGTCGCGGGTGGGGCGGCCGGGCCTGCGCTGGGGACGGCTCTGGGGACTGCGGCCGGCGCCGGGACCTGGAGGGGACGCTGGGGCCGAAGCAGCA
The DNA here is from genome assembly GCF_000001405.40 of Homo sapiens. Classification (NCBI taxonomy): domain Eukaryota; kingdom Metazoa; phylum Chordata; class Mammalia; order Primates; family Hominidae; genus Homo; species Homo sapiens. Next base: position 144,294,132 of record NC_000007.14, on the reverse strand, counting down.
TGTGACACCGACCAGGTGGGTGCCCTCCTCCCGTCTCGGCCCTGGGCTCCCGGCGGCTGTGGAGCCCGGCGGAGGTGGGGCAGGGACAGGAAGGAAGAGGAAGCCAGGCCTTTCCCAGGGATCAGCCCCCGCTGGGTCCGGGGCGCAGGCTCCGGAAATGGGGGGGCTGGGCCCGCAGGCAGGGCTCGGGGTGTGTGGCTGAGGACCCTGGTGGGGAAGAGGAGAGGAACTAGAGGAAATGTTGTTGCCTACAAGTTTGCTTCCGGTCGGGTCCCGCCTAGGAAATGGGCACCCTGCCCCCAGACGTTCCCCGGGCCAATAATCAGGGCTCTTTCTTCAAAGTAGGCGCCCTGGGGAAAGCTAAGCCATATCAGAAGGAATAACTGAGATTCCCTTTCTAGGCTGTTCCTTACCTGGAGAGGTTTTATCGGCTCCTTTTCCTTAACCAGGCCGGGGCCTTTCCTTATGTATCTCCATAGGTATTTGCATACTGTGTGAGTCTATGTGTAGCTTCTCTCCGTGTTAACCAAAGCTCCGTAACCTGGAACAGTGAATCCTGCCCTGCCCCTCACCCCAGTTCCCTACATATGGGGAGCCTCCTAAAGCTTGATGTGAATCACAACGTTGCATTCTTAGCAAGGTGGAAAGAAGTTATTTAGAGTTGGGGGCTGAGGTAGGCGTTGGGGTGCTAGAATGCGGACGCAGAGCTCTAGAACCCCTGAGCATCTTTTGCAGTTGCCTTCCGGCAAGACTACCGGAGGAGAGCCAGTTGTGATACTACGTCATTTCCAGATCTCAGTCCCTTTCTTCCCTTCCTGGATCTTGGGTTCCAAAGACAGATTTGCCCTCCTGTCTACCTAGAAGTGAACTCTGGCCAGGACTCTTGTCTGGTTGAGAGAGAAGGGTGTGTCAAACAGATGAGAGAGGGTGGTTTTCCTTTCGAGGTTCCTCCCTAGCTTGCTCCCCTACTGCACTCCACTGTCTGGCCTTGCATCTTGGGCCTAATCCAGAGGTCCCAGCTCCAGCTAAAAAGCTCTTGATGTGGCCTCTGTCTCAGACGTCTTGTTTTATCCACATTTGGAGCATGAAGAAGTTCCTGGCATAGGCCTTAGCAAAATGGGTGTCATTTGTTAACCAATCTGTGGGCCTAAAAGTGAAGCCGTGGCTAGTGAAGGAGTCCTGGGGAGCTGGGAAGATGGGATGAGGGCGTGTCAGTTCTGGGTGAGACTGATATGCAGGAGGAATGTATGTCATGGTCCTAGTGGGGAGGAGAGAGAAATCAGGAGGAGTGCAAAGGAATCCCTCTCGTCAACAGAATATAGTGATTCTCAATAGAGAGAAGAGTGTTCATATATTAGAGGTCCTGAGAGTGTATCAGTGCCCTTAACGCGGTCTGTCTGAGGTTCCGTGGCCACGTTACACGTGGTGTCTGTGGGATAGACAGGAATACGTCATTTGTGGTGTCTGGAGAGGTCAGTCGCTATGTGGTATGGACAGGAATGGAGTCACTCGTAGGGTCTTGGGTTCAACGGGAGCAGCATTACTCAAGTGTCAGTGGTGTAGACAAACAGGTGACCAACAGCTCTAGTGTAGACAGGGGCTGGGTCACTCACAGTGTCTGTGGAGTAAGCAGGAGTTGATCACTTATAGTGCCTGCAAGGTAGACTGGAACAAAGTCACCCTCAAGGTCTATGTTAATACACAAACACGTCACTCACACTAATGTTATCTGTGTGGATGCCACCAGGACCACAGATGAGATTGTAGAGTGTAAGTCAGCATTGACACTAATAATGTTCTTATATAAACTATCTGGTCTATAAGGCAGTTGGTGTGACATTTTCAGACATTAGAGAATAGATAAATGTGTATTACAGCTTTCACTGGCATGGTGGGACTTTCCCGCAATGGATAGAACACACATTGTAGTAGTCAGTGGTCCAGAAAGCTACCCCTGTTTTGATATCTTTGTAGTATTGAGGGCAGTGATGTCAAACAGTGAATAAAGTTATATATCTATGTGGTGATCTTATTTTAACCTCAATATTATTTTAGTGATTTGTAAGTCAGAATATTTGAAATCAACCTTGCTAGAAAATCCAGGAAGCATGGTCCTCAAAAATATATATATGGCACTGAGTCTCAGTTCAAAGATTTGGCAGTTTGATTGGGGAGGGGTTGTATCCTTGAAATACAGTGTTGTTTCTAGTGACTAGAAATAGACAAGAGCTAAGGTGTTGGGGGGGGGGCTCTAGGGAAGATAGTGAGCTCTGTCACACATTATGTTAAAGGGATGACTTGAAGCTTTGCCTCTCAAGAAGTCACACGTGGGTGAGGTTATGTGGATGCAAAATGTCTGTGGTCTGAAGCAAGGCCGTATCCCCATAATCCCATGCCCTGGCTTTGCCTGTACACAGATAAACAGTGATTATTCACCCTCAGTGGAGAAGGAGATGAGGATGTTTGCACTCTAACGTAATGAGCATTGCAAAAAACTCTCTCCTGATGCCTTTACGTGAGTAAGACCATGATTTACAGATTTCCTTTCACTTTGTCACATTTTAGCTTTGTCATGCCTGATTGCAACGGGATCACTGAGATAGGATCAAGTATAGGGAACGTGGGGTATGTTCTCCCTTTGCGGTAACTGGTGGCTGAGCAGGTGACCACTGATATTTCCAAATGAAAAAAGACAGTTAGAAACGGTGTCAATGGGCTTGCAGAGGCAGGCATGCACTGTGCCACTAGATTGGAACAGAAAATGTCCAGGTAGCACATGGTATTTATAGATATACCCTAGATATGGCAGAAACACACTTTTATTTAGAGGCTACTTGTTTTGAAGACGTGATGGTGTATATGGAGGAGAGGGCCTGAACCATGCAGATGTAAGTGAGGAGAGACTACAGGTTTAGTCCCATGGTCTCCTTAGGCCAAGTTTCAGAAAGTGTCTTAAAGTAAGCAAGTATATTATTCGATGTGTGGTTGAGAGAACAGGGCCACATCACAGAATCACCCATAGGGATTATAGTATTTTGTACTTAAGGGCTAGACATAGGGAGCCAATCGCATATGGTGTCAGTTAACTGGAAAAGGACATAAAAGTCCTTCTGCCTGTGTACAATTATGTCAGACATATCTCTTTGCCCCATATAGATGGTATCTCTGTCTCTGGGATGGCCAGAATCTTGTCACATACTACTCTGCAGTGTGCTAGGGACCTGCCTGTTTGGTTATGTCAGGCTCTATTGCAAGAGTTTGTAAGGATGGCTCAGTGTGTGTGTGTGTGTGTGTGTGTGTGTGTGTGTGTGTGTGTGTACACAGTGGCTAAGCAGGACAGTATTCTGAGCAGGTGAGTTTTCAGTTTAAGCCTGGACCAGACAAGAAAGGTGCACGGTCAGGTGCAGCATTGGGTCCATAGAATTCTGGGGTCTTCTCTGGACTGATGGCCTGCCAGCTTTCTTTCAGTAGGACCTCTAAGTGCTTACAGGAGACTTAAGTCAAGCGACTTTGCTTCAGGTTTGCCCATACCATTTGCTTAGGAGATTTGAGCAAGGGTCTAGGGTCTTTGACCTTTAGTTTCTTCATCTGTAAATTGAGCAGTTTCTGTGTGTCTCTGAAGGTCCTTCCGGCTTTATGAATCCTGTGTTTCTCTCTTACACTTATTCTCTGTCTCTCAGGTCAACAGTATTTACCACAGCCACCATTTCTATGACCCTTAAAGATAGCAGTGTACATTTTTATGTTACCTTATTTAATCTTTACTAGAACTGTGAAGGAATCCTTTTATCTCCTTTTTAAAGATAAGAAAATGGATGTTCAAATAAATTTAATGGTTTCTACAATTGTCTTAAAACCAGCAAAGATACCAGAGAGGCACAACCAAACACTGATCCATACTCTTCTAACTCTATATTCTTCCGTCATTCATTCATACAATACATCTTTGTTGAGGGCCAACTAGGCTTCAGGCAGAGGGGGTTATATGGCAGTGTTTGTCCCTTCATGGTGCTCATAATCTAGCCTGGAAAATAGACATTAAATATGACATGACAAGTGCAAGGTGTGTTTGAGGAGAAGCAAAGGATTCTCTGTTGCAAAAGAGGATTCCAGGCAGAGGAGCAGTGTCTACAAAGGCCTACAGGTGAGAGACACAGAGAGAAGTGAGCTAAAGACACTGAAAGCCAGTGGGAGAGGGGGGGGATGGGGGCAGGGACAGATGGTGACAGGTGAATAGGCTGCTAGAGAAGAAGGCAGAGCCAGGTTGTGCAGGGAGTATAACCCATGCTGAAGATTTAGATTTCATCTCAAGAGCATTCAGAGGCTGCTGAAGAATCTAAGCTAGAACTGGTGCTTTTGAAGCTCACTTAGGTGCTGTATGGAGAAAGGACTGGAATAACGTGAAATGGGTGGAGGCCAGTGCCCAAGCTGTGGCCGGGTGCAGTGGCCCGGGCGAGACGGTAGCAGCATGCACCAGTGGAGAGGGATGGGATAGAAGTGGACAGTCTTAAGGGATATTTAGCAGACGAGGTCAATAGCACATGGTGATTGATTAGATATGGGGAATCTGGGCCAGGAGGGAAACAAGAATTTTATTTTATTTTAATTAATTAATTAATTTATTTAGAGACAGAGTCTCACTCTGTCACCTAGGCTGGAGTGCAGTGATGTGATCTTGGCTCACTGCAGCCTCTGCCTCCTGGGCTCAAGGGATCCTCCCATCTCAGCCCCCAAGTAGCTGGAACTACAGCCACGTGCCACCATGCTCCACTAATTTTTGTATTTTTTGTGGAGACAGGGTTTCACCAGGTTGTCCAGGCTGGTCTCAAACTCCTAGATTCAAGCAGTCAACCTGCCTCAGCCTCCCAGAGTGTCAGGATTATATATATAAAGTGCATTGGGAAACTCAGTTTTTCATCTGTAAAATGGGCAGAATAATGGTACCCATCTTATACGATGACTCTTAGATGTATGGCACATACATATTTAAAGAAGCATTTCATTATTTTTAATGACATGTATGCAGGAAAACCTTAGTGTTTCAGAATGAAAAATAAGAAAAATTAATTTGTTGTGTATAGAGCTCTAAATGTTTAAAGTTCTGTGTAAACTGTTAATCATGATTTTGGGAAAAGGTGGGCATATTCCATTGAAGTAAAAGGATCACATTTTATTCTGACCTGAATTTTATTCTTTATGTGAAAAATATTTATTAAACACTGAGTATAGGCCACTATTAGGCTAAGTATGGATAATTCAGCAAGTCATAGTTCTTAATCTCATAAATTTTACTATCTATTGGTTGCAATAGAGGGTAACTCAAAATACACACATCATTATATAATTATAATTGTATAAATGCTACAAAGGAAAAGTAAAGTGAATTATAGTTGGTAAGTGCTACAAAGAGGGGTACAATTTAACCTAGTTAAAAGATCAGGGGAGGCCAGGTGCAGTGGCTTACGCCTATAATCACAACACTTCGGGAGGCCGAGGCGGGTGGATAACGAGGTCAGGAGATTGAGACCATCCTGGCCAAAATGGTGAAACCCCGTCTCTACTAAAAGTACAAAAATTAGCTGGGTGTGGTGGCACACACCTATAGTCCCAGCTACTCGGGAGGCTGAGGCAGGAGAATCTCTTGAACCCGGAGGTGGAGGTTGCAATGACCCAAGATTGCACCACGGCACTCCAGCCTGGGTGACAGAGCAAGACTCCATCTCAAAAAAAAAAAAAAAAAAAAGAAAAAAAAAAAAAGACTGGAGGAAACTGAAGGGGTAAAACCAGGAAAATGTAATACCACAAGTAACAAGAGAGTATTTCTAACCTCAGTACTGTCAAATACTGACAAGAACCACCCAAAATGAAGATCCATAAGGTCTTCTTTGGAATTAACAACATGTCGATTGTAGGGAATATTGGCAGAATGCCGCTATCAAAGCTCAGTTGGAGGCAGGTGGGATGTGAGAGTATGAAGACAGCAGATAAGAGCAACTCCTTCTAGTCATTTGAAAGATGAGAAGAATGTGGGAATGCTTCCATACCCCAGGGGTTGTTCAGCAGGGATGTTGAAGGTATGAGTGCACAGTGTTCCTGGGGAAGCAGGCAAGAAATGACAGAGCATGGAAAGGAGGGATACGTCTTTTCCTGACTGAGGGCGGAAGATAGAAAGAGTGGAAATACAGGTTGCTTTGGATCACAAGAAATTGAGGTGAGAGAAACCCAGTTCCATCAGTTTCTATTTTCTTTGCAAAATAGGAGATGAGGTGTTCTGCTGGAAGTGAGAAGAAAGGCAGGAAGGTCGAAATCAAAAGACAGGAAGGTCAAAAGAATTAATGAGAAGAGTTCATATGGATACTGAGGCCAAGGGGAGAGTAAGGTGATGCAGAAAGCACCCTTCTGTGGTCTTCCTTCAAGGTGGTAATGTGTCTAGTTCAACACTAATCCAATAAGGCTGTTATCATCCCACTTTACAACAGCTGCCTCTAGAATTGGAAACAAAACTGTTAGTTACAATGCTGTAGTAGACACTATGGAAAACAGAAAGATGAGTAAACTCCAAACCCTCTGTAAAGAAGATGAAACCATAGCACCTCACACATTGGCTATCATAGCCTGGCCTATTTTAACTGATGTCCACAGCTTAAGAGGAAGACCCTCTCCTGACACTGCTTCTCTGGCCTAATAGATCTGAGGTGTGTCCCTTGCTGTGTCTGGGGGTTATATGAGGATGAGTCACTCCTAGTGTCCGAAGAGTAGACAGGGAGAGACAGAAGATGACATAATGGAGTCTAGAGAGAACTGACAACTGGGAGCTTCTGGGCACTCTCTGACAATGGTCCTCTGCTATAATTTAATTGTTCATTATGACCTGTTTCCCTCACAAGACCACAGTCTCCATGACGACAAGATCTTTATCTCATTCACTACTGAATGCCCCACACTTAACAGGGTCGCTAGGAAAATATTTATGAAATAAATACATCAATGACAAGTTTTTTAGAGGCTATTGCTTATTTTGTTGAGAACCTGTTGTCTCAAAGAATGACCCTAAATGGAACCAAATAAATGCATCACTCTTCTTTTTTATGGTCTCTTCCTCTGATAGGTAAAAGCAGAGTTGTTAGAAACATTTGTCTTTGATTCCTCCTTAGGATTCAGCCCTGATGGAGGCTGAGGAGGCCCAGCGTGGAGCCTCTCCTCCCATCTCTGCCATAGAGGAATTCAGCATTATCCCTAAGGCTCCCATGAGGAGCAGCCAGGTCTCTGCCTTGGGGCTTGAAGCTCAAGAAGATGAGGACCCATCCTATAAGTGGAGAGAGGAACACAGACTCTCAGCAACTCAGCAGAGTGAGTTAAGGGATGTGTGTGACTATGCGATTGAGACGATGCCCTCTTTTCCCAAGGAAGGTTCTGCAGATGTGGAGCCCAATCAGGAAAGCCTTGTGGCTGAGGCCTGTGACACTCCGGAACACTGGGAGGCAGTACCCCAGAGCCTAGCAGGCCGACAAGCAAGGACTCTAGCTCCCCCAGAGCTCTGGGCCTGCCCCATTCAGAGTGAGCATCTAGACATGGCCCCATTTTCCAGTGACCTGGGAGGCGAAGAAGAGGAGGTGGAATTTTGGCCAGGACTTACTTCTTTGACATTGGGATCTGGACAGGCAGAAGAAGAAGAGGAAACCTCTTCAGATAACTCTGGTCAGACCAGATATTATTCTCCCTGCGAAGAGCATCCTGCAGAGACCAACCAGAATGAAGGCGCTGAAAGTGGGACTATCAGGCAGGGGGAAGAGCTGCCATCTGAGGAGCTGCAGGAAAGTCAAGGGCTCTTGCATCCCCAGGAGGTCCAAGTTCTGGAGGAGCAGGGACAGCAGGAAGCAGGATTTCGGGGGGAAGGAACTCTGAGGGAGGATGTTTGTGCCGATGGGCTATTAGGGGAGGAACAGATGATAGAGCAGGTTAATGATGAAAAAGGAGAACAGAAGCAAAAACAGGAACAGGTACAAGATGTGATGCTTGGGAGACAAGGAGAAAGAATGGGGCTCACTGGGGAGCCAGAGGGTCTGAATGACGGTGAGTGGGAGCAGGAGGATATGGAGAGGAAGGCTCAGGGTCAGGGAGGTCCAGAACAGGGAGAAGAGAGGAAGAGGGAGCTGCAGGTGCCAGAAGAGAACAGGGCGGACTCTCAGGACGAAAAGAGTCAAACCTTTTTGGGAAAATCAGAGGAAGTAACTGGAAAGCAAGAAGATCATGGTATAAAGGAGAAAGGGGTGCCAGTCAGCGGGCAGGAGGCGAAAGAGCCAGAGAGTTGGGATGGGGGCAGGCTGGGGGCAGTGGGAAGAGCGAGGAGCAGGGAAGAGGAGAATGAGCATCATGGGCCTTCAATGCCCGCTCTGATAGCCCCTGAGGACTCTCCTCACTGTGACCTGTTTCCAGGTGCCTCATATCTCGTGACTCAGATTCCCGGGACTCAGACAGAGTCCAGGGCTGAGGAACTGTCCCCCGCAGCTCTGTCTCCCTCGCTAGAGCCCATCAGGTGCTCTCACCAGCCCATTTCTCTACTGGGCTCCTTTTTGACTGAGGAGTCACCTGACAAGGAAATAGATCAAAACAGCCAGCAAGAGGGATCCAGGCTGAGGAAGGGAACAGTGTCCAGCCAAGGGACTGAGGTGGTCTTTGCCAGTGCATCTGTGACTCCTCCAAGGACACCAGATTCAGCTCCTCCCAGTCCTGCTGAAGCCTACCCCATCACACCTGCCTCGGTATCTGCCAGGCCCCCAGTTGCCTTTCCCAGGAGGGAAACCTCTTGTGCTGCACGTGCTCCAGAAACTGCCAGTGCCCCTCTCTCAATGGATGACCCATCTCCCTGTGGGACTTCTGAGATGTGCCCGGCTGCCCTCTATGGCTTCCCCTCCACCGGGACCAGCCCTCCGAGGCCCCCAGCCAACTCCACAGGCACCGTCCAGCACTTACGGAGTGACTCCTTCCCTGGTTCTCACAGGACAGAGCAGACTCCAGACCTGGTGGGAATGTTGCTTTCCTACTCCCACTCAGAGCTGCCCCAGAGGCCCCCCAAACCTGCCATCTACAGCTCTGTGACCCCAAGAAGGGACAGAAGGAGTGGTAGGGACTACAGCACCGTTTCAGCATCCCCTACTGCCTTATCCACGCTGAAGCAGGACTCTCAAGAATCCATCTCAAATCTAGAGAGACCCAGCAGTCCTCCCAGCATCCAGCCCTGGGTCTCCCCACATAATCCAGCCTTTGCCACAGAGTCTCCCGCCTACGGTTCTTCCCCATCCTTTGTCTCCATGGAGGATGTGAGGATCCACGAACCTCTGCCCCCTCCTCCCCCACAGAGGAGGGACACCCATCCCTCCGTGGTGGAGACAGATGGCCATGCTCGTGTAGTGGTTCCCACGCTGAAGCAGCATAGCCACCCTCCTCCATTGGCCCTAGGTTCAGGGCTGCATGCCCCCCATAAAGGCCCACTTCCCCAAGCCTCTGACCCCGCTGTGGCCAGGCAGCACCGACCTCTGCCATCTACCCCAGACAGCTCCCACCATGCTCAGGCCACCCCCAGGTGGAGATACAACAAGCCGCTACCCCCTACCCCTGATTTGCCGCAGCCCCACCTTCCTCCCATTTCTGCTCCTGGTAGCTCAAGGATCTACAGGCCTCTACCCCCACTACCCATCATAGACCCTCCCACCGAACCACCCCCATTGCCCCCAAAGTCCAGGGGGAGGAGCAGGAGCACTTGGGGAGGACATATGAACTCAGGGGGTCATGCCAAAACAAGACCTGCTTGTCAAGACTGGACAGTCCCCCTCCCTGCCTCTGCTGGACGCACCTCCTGGCCCCCGGCCACAGCTAGATCAACAGAGTCTTTCACTTCCACCAGCAGGAGTAAGAGCGAAGTGTCCCCTGGCATGGCTTTCAGCAACATGACAAACTTCCTATGCCCCTCTTCCCCTACCACTCCCTGGACTCCGGAGCTCCAGGGACCCACCTCTAAGGATGAAGCAGGGGTCTCAGAACACCCTGAGGCCCCTGCGAGAGAACCTTTGAGAAGGACAACCCCTCAGCAAGGAGCCAGTGGCCCAGGGAGGTCACCTGTGGGCCAAGCAAGGCAGCCAGAAAAACCCAGCCATCTGCACCTGGAGAAGGCGTCCAGCTGGCCCCACAGGCGGGACTCAGGGAGGCCACCAGGGGACAGCAGTGGACAGGCTGTGGCTCCTAGTGAGGGGGCCAACAAGCACAAGGGCTGGAGCCGGCAGGGCCTGCGCAGACCTTCCATCTTGCCTGAGGGCTCTTCAGGTGAGCAAGAACCGGGACCACAGTGACACATCAGACCAAGCTTTTCCCAGCTCTTCCCACCTCATCCCATCTTCTGTCCCTAGGGTTCCTAACATTCTCTCTGCTGGCTTCGCTCACATGTGTGCCTAACCTCAACACAGAGAGAGCCCCGAAGTGCCCTCCAAGCTCCTTGGGATGCTCTTCCTTCTTCTTCCCCTCTATCTCCCTGTCTCTCCCTCAACCAGCACCTTCTTTGGATGTCCCAAGGTTATTTTGGACTCCCTTCTACTCTTCAGTTACAGTCCCTGCTTGCTCTCCTCCTGGGGAGTAGAAAAGGCCTTCTGTACTTGTCCCAGTCCCATCCTGACCCGTGGCTCGGGACGTCACTGGTACTGATCTCTTTCACGCTCTCTGCTTTGCCACTTTCTTCCCTCCCAGTTTCCCAATAAAGCCCATTTTCCCTTCTGGACCCCTACATCTCCTGCTCTAGATCTTCTTTGGCTCTCTCTATCCCTCTGAAATCTCAGTTATCTTCCCCATTTCCACTTTTAGATTCAAGAGGTCCAGCCGTGGAGAAACATCCGGGACCCTCAGACACTGTTGTTTTTCGGTAAGTCACCCTCTCCCCTAACAGCCACACTGTACTCTCTTCACTTGGGATACTGAGAGTCCCCTAGTGAGGATTTCAGTTGATAAGGGTTCTGAGACCCCGAATGGCTCATTCCTGTTTCTTCTTGGTGTAAGGAGGAGAAGAGAGAGATGCCGGGATGCCAGCTTAGGGAGATTGTCTTTATCTACCTCATTCGGTCAGCCGAGCCTACGAGTCATCCATCTTCCCAAGCCCTATGGCTGTGAACTAAACCCCACAAAAGCTCCATGTTAGCCCAAGTGGGTCAAGTTGCAACTCTGTGCCTCTCCGGGGGATTTGGTCTTGACATCCCAGCACACATCCCAGAGGCTAGAGACTTTGTCCCCCACAGTCACCTGGGGTGCTCTGTGTCTAATGGCCAGTAGGTACCCCAGAGCCCTTCTTTACTCCACAGGGAGAAAAAACCAAAGGAGGTGATGGGAGGCTTTTCAAGACGCTGCTCCAAACTCATCAACTCCTGTGAGTACCTTGAAGTGGAACTATAGACCCAGGTGGGCATTCTGCCCAGCACTGGAGAGGGGCTTGTGGATGTCAGCAGTGGGGTGGGGATGTCCCTAGCGAGAAGGCATTGCAGAAGATCTGTTTCCCTGCCTCCGCTCACCGTCCCTTCTTCCTGCTTCTCTTCCTTCCCATGCTTCTTTGCCCTGCAGCCCAGCTGCTTTACCAGGAGTATAGTGATGTTGTCCTGAATAAGGAGATCCAGAGCCAGCAGCGGCTGGAGAGCCTGTCCGAGACACCCGGGCCTAGCTCTCCGCGGCAGCCTCGGAAGGCCCTGGTCTCCTCCGAGTCGTACCTGCAGCGGCTCTCCATGGCCTCCAGCGGCTCCCTCTGGCAGGAAATCCCCGTGGTGCGCAACAGCACCGTGCTGCTCTCCATGACCCATGAAGACCAAAAGCTGCAAGAGGTACTGGGCAGGCCACGGTGGGGAGGGGGCTACAGAAAAGATGACAAGGTCTTGTTTGCTAGCATCCTTCTCTCCTGCTCACCACTGCCACCAAGAGTCGGCTGTCCCCACCACACAGGCGCGTGTACATGCCACAGCTGTGGGTCATGTCCATTCTGAAGAAGTTGAATTGTTTTCTGGATTTCACCACCTCCCCTTTCATCCTCACCTCCTCATGCCATAGGCCACTTGCTCCTACCTGATGTTGGTCTGGGCTATACATGGTGGCCATTGCCTCTGAATTTGTGTGGAGGAATGTGGAGTTAATCCCATCATCACTGCTGTTTCAGGGTAGAGGAAAGCTTCCCTGTTCAACCAGGGTTTCAGGCTACACTACAGTTTTCCTCTTTAGCCAAGGCACATTCCGGGGCTCTTTGTTGGGTCCCTTGAAGAGGGCCCTTTGCAGCTGTCCTGTGGTCCATCAATCTAACAGGGGCCTTAGAGTGATCATCAGTCCCTGCTTGATTGTTACTCCCAACAGCAAGACTGAACTAGAGGCTGTTTGTCTGATTCTAAGCTATTACCATTAGTAAGTTTTACATGGAGAGCGCCTCTTATTAATTTGTCTGAAATATGGGGTAAAACCTTTCTTCCCAGAAAGACAGTATGGAACAATGGAATAGAATAATGTTTAAGAAATTAGGTTCTGGAAGAAATGACCTGGATATGAAAACCACTTTTTTTTTAAATTATTAATTTATTAGAGACAGGGTCTTGCTCTGTCACTCAGGCTGGAGTACAGTGGTACAATCATTGTTCACTGCAGCCTCAACCTCCTGGGCTCGAGCAATCCTCCCGCCTCAGCCTCCCAAGTAGCTAGGACTACAGGTATGTGCCACTATGCCTAGCTAATTTTTTAATTTTTTGAAAAGATGGTGTCTCACTATGTTGCCCAGTTGTCTCGAGCTCCTGGGCTGAAGCAATACTCCCGCCTCGGCCTCCCAAAGTGCTGGAATTACAGGCATGAGCCACTGAGCCCAGCCCCAGAGCCCACTTTAATATTTCCAATTTACCTTTGGCCAAATGACATTTGTAAAACTGAGATACAAACAGTTACTGCAAGGATCAAGAAACATGAATGCCTGGTACATAGTAATTTCTCAAAAAATGTTGACTTTTCATTTTAAGTAAGCCAGACCTAGGTTTGAAACATGACTTCACCATTTGCTAGCTTAGGCAGCCTTATAACATCACTAAATCTCAGTTTCCTCACTTGCAAATTGAGGATAATAATGCCTACCTTTCAGGGTTGCTGAATGGTTTAAATGAAATAATGCATATCTAATTTAGCAGTAATATTTGATGTATAGTTTGATAAATATTAGTGCCATACTCTCTGCCTTTCAGAGGCAGGGAGGAGTAAAATTTGGGCCAGGAGGACTTATGGATAGACAATGCTTTTACCAAGTCAGAGAGAGAATACATTTTTAGACTTTGCAAAGTTCAGACTTGAGAGCCCTGTTGTGGCTGCAAATTTTTAAGCACAGAGAAGATATTTAGAAAATAACTCATCTTCCCCATATTTGTTGACCAAACAGTGGGAGATGACACGAGTTCTAGCTCTCTTTTACCAACTCCAGCATGCTGGGAAGTCCAGCAGGACTCCTATTCCAGCCCTGGTCTCATGTTTGTGAGAAGAAAGGGCTTTACATTTCTATCTCTTAAACACACATATTCATTTTATAAAGTAGTACCTCTGGGGTTCACAAAGTGCTTTCACAGGCTCCATTTCTTTCAACTGTTGCATCTTCCACAGTGAGATGGGGGTCACTATATCCACATAAAAGGACACGAAAAGTGAGATTCAGAGAGGTTAAATGAGCCACCCAAAGTCAGTCGTGTAGTGAATGTTAGAGCAAGGATGCAAATGAGCCTTCAGTGTCCCTGTTCAGGGTTGTTGTATGGGAGGGTCATCTGGCTGTGTCATTGGTCATCCAAGTCATCACCAGGGTGTGTCTCCTTTCTCTTTTCTATCCAGGCATCTCTCTTGAGGCCACATGCTTGGATGAAAAGCATGAGGAGCCCAGCTAGAGGCACGGTCATGAGTCATAGCGCCCCCTGCTGGAACCTCCAGACAAGTTCTCACATGCTGGGCATGCATTAAACCACAGCTGCGCCATCTTGTTCTCAGATATCCTGCTTCTGTCTCCTGCTTCTCGCGCCATCTTGTTCTCAGATATCCTGCTTCTGTCTCCTGCTTCTCATCTGTCCTCAAACCTCAAACTGAGCTCATCACCTTCATCCCCTAAATCTATGCCTTTTCAAAGTTCTCTGGCTCAGTAAATGACTCCATCATTCACCCAGGTGCCCGACTCAAAAAGCTTTTGCTGTGAGTACAAAACATTAGCTTTGAACCTTCCTTCTCTTTGAGGCCCCATTTCTAGCAAATAATCCAACCCTTCCAATTCTACCTCATAAATAATTATAAAATTAATCTACTTCTCTTCAGCTCCATGGCTATTCAGACCTTCATCTCTCATGTGGAATTATTACAACAGTTTCTTAACATGGATGGCTTTTGCTTCTTTTCATCTTTTCTTCTCATTCTGCTTAGAAATAACTTTATGAAAAACAGGCTGGGCGCAGCGGCTCACACCTGTAATCCCAGCACTTTGGGAAGCCGAGGCGGGTGGATCAACTGAGGTCAGGAGCTTGAGAACAGCCTGGCCAGTATGGTGAAACCCTGTCTCTACTAAAAATACAAAAATTAGCTGGGCGTGGTGGTGCATGCCTGTCATCCCAGCTACTCAGGAGGCTGAGGCAGGAAAATGGCTTGAACCTGGGATGCGGAGGTTGCAGTGGGCTGAGATCGTGCCACTGCACTCCAGCCTGGGTGACAGAGCAAGACTCCATCTCAATTCCAAAAAATAAAAAAAAATAACTTTATATAAAACAAATGTGGTCAAGTTATTCTCCTATGTAAAGCCTGTTTTCATTGTCCCATTGTCTTAAGTCCAAACAGTTTTACATTGTTTACATTACCCTTCAGGCCTCCTCGACTGCTGCAGCTTCATCTCTGGCCACTACTGCTGTACACTTGGTTCAAAAAATGCTCAATTTATTTAGTTTAGTTAGTTTGTTTGTTTGTTTTGAGATGGGGTTTCACTCTGTCACCAGGCTGAAGTGCAGTGGTGCAATCTGGGATCACTGCAACCTCACCTCCCAGGCACAAGCAATCCTTCCGCCTCAGCCTCTCAAATAGCTGGGACTACATGTGCACGCCATCACATCCGGCTAATTTTTGTATTTTTTGTAGAGACAGGGTCTCTGTACGTTGCCCAGCCTGGTCCTGAACTCCCAGACTCAAGTGATGCACCCACCTCAGCCTCCCAAAGTGTTGGGATTACAGGCGTGAGCCACTGCACCCAGTCTATTTAGCTTTTTTAATATAAATTTCATTGTGTATATTAAAGATATACAACATGATGTTATGGGCTACATATAAATAGTAACAGAATTACCCTAGTGAAGCAAATTAACATATCCATCTCACTTTGTTACTCATTTTTTGTTCTTGTTTTTGTTATTTAGATTTCTTGAAAGCATATTTTTCTTTTATACCTTTGAAGGCCTGTACCTGTACCCTAGATTAAATCCTACTCAAATGCTCTTCCCCTCCCCGCAGATCAACTTAGGTTCTGGTGTGACTGTGAACCATAAAAGGATCTTGCTCACTGCTCTATCCCCAAAACATTACACAGTGGCTGGCATATTCCAGGGGGTAAATAAAATCCTTAATTAATCTTCCTCATCTCCAACCTCCTAAGTCAAATTTGAGCTGATTGTGTCAGAGGCCTCCTACCTGCGCAGTCTAAACATAGCTGTGGATCATTTCCAACTTTCAACTTCACTCCGGGCCACACTTTCCAACCAGGAGCACCAATGGCTCTTCTCTCGTTTACAGGATGTGCGAGACGTCAGCGCCACGTGAGACTCCCCTTCTCCTAAATACCACTCACTCAGCCTCACTGTTGTTAGGCTTTAAATGTTCCGTTATTTTTTTCCCCTCTTAGAAACCCTTTCATTTTCACAGTTATGGGAAGAAATTGGGCCTCAGTTTCTTCCATGATTCCCGATGGTTATAGGAAGAAGAATGGCAAGAAGAGGAGAGGGTCTGTGGGTGGATAGATCCATTAATGGATAAGTAAATGAGCAATGCTTCCTGGGTTGAGGTTTTGGATTACTGTGGTCATGCACTGCATTGGAGATGAGGTGGAAAAACCATCTAAAGATCAGAAAACCTGAACAGGGTCAAAAGAAGAATGAGAAATGGAATATTAGAATAAAAGTGTTAAATCAGGCTCAAACTCAGGACAGTTTTGGAGCGAATTCTAGTGCATAGCAAGGAGCACAGAGCAGAGAGTCAATAGAAGTTATTGGCTAATGGAGTGAAGAAGTCACCAGCTCAGTGTACACCAGGGGCCAGTCAGCTGTTTAGCTGAGGTCCAGAAGTCTCATGAGACTCGTTTAAATCCTGTACAGGTTCCTTTCAGACCTGGAAGAGAACTTTGAGAACAATATCTTCTCCTTCCAAGTATGTGACGTAGTCCTGAACCACGCCCCAGACTTCCGCCGGGTCTACCTGCCTTATGTCACCAACCAGACCTATCAGGAACGCACCTTCCAGAGCCTGATGTGAGACTCATCCCCCATTTAATCCCCATGTAGGCCCTGAGGTGACCATGCACCAGTCCCCAGCCCAGAGGGCTATCCCAAGAGCACACTTTCCCCATTCCGCCCTCTGTATTGGTTACCCCAGCATCACATCTGAGCGCCCTGTACATCAGCTCCCACCGCTCTTTCCCAGCCCACAGATACTCCACTGACCTCCCTTCCCCGCACCTTCACTGCATCCCCCATTGCTCCCCATATCCCCCCTCCCCTAAGGCTCACTCTCCGTGCAGGAATAGCAACAGCAATTTCCGGGAGGTCTTGGAGAAGCTGGAGAGCGACCCCGTCTGCCAGCGCCTTTCCCTCAAGTCCTTTCTGATTCTGCCCTTCCAACGCATCACCCGCCTCAAACTGCTGCTCCAGGTAGGGCAGATGCTACCTTGATCCTCTCCCCTTAACTCAAAGGGATGCCCTCAGGAAGACCCACAACAAAGGACCAACCATTCTTCTGCCAGGTGTCCACATCCTGTCTCCCTGCTGCCCACTGCCTGCTTGCTTGGAAATATTTGCTGCTAAAATGTGGTCCCTGAGCTTCTCCATTCACCAGCCCCCAATCATTTCTTCCTGTTTCCCATTTCTTCCTCCCATCTCACTCCTGCCTACTGTCTGTTCAATAGAACATTCTGAAGAGAACACAGCCTGGCTCCTCGGAGGAGGCAGAGGCCACGAAGGCACACCACGCCCTGGAGCAGGTAGGCAGCCACCACCTCCACTCTGACCCTCTGTGTGTTCTTCTCAGAGAGGTCTTTCCCACCTAGGCCCATGACTCCAGGGAGCATGGGAGGTGGGACCCTGTTGGGAGAGCTCAGCCACCTCCCTGCATCCGCCAAACTTCCAAACATACACACCCCACGGCCACCTCTCCCACGCCGAGCACACTCCACATCAAGGGACTGTGCCCTCTCCACCATCACCCCCACATTCAGTCTCACTTTTACTCAGTTCAGGAATGTTCTCCCAAGTCATACAAAGTTGCCTAGGACTTGTGCTTGATACTGCCTGCCCAATTCCAGCCTGGGAAAAATGACTGAGGCTGTCATAACCTATTTCCAGATTGCTTGCAAGGGACTCAAAGGTCAAAGCCTCTAACACAGTGCCCTTCCCCTTTCCTCACTCTCTGCACCCCTAGCTGATCCGGGACTGCAATAACAATGTCCAGAGTATGCGACGGACAGAGGAGCTAATCTACCTGAGCCAGAAGATTGAGTTTGAGTGCAAAGTGAGTCGGTCCCATGCACCCCATCCCTGCCCATGAACTCCCTTAACATGTCCTGCAGATCACCCCCTAACCTGGAACCACCTTGCTCACATTATCCCCAGCCCCTCCCCTCATTTCTGCCCACCTTCTATTCTGTCCTATTTCTGGGAGGCCTACTTGGGTCTCCAAGACATACTGCTAAGTGAAAAGATGAAGGTAAAGAATTGTGTGTATATTATATCACCTTTGGTATAAAAGTGGGAGGATACAAATCTATACAGGTGTCTGCTTGTGTGTGCATAAGGAAACTCTGGAAGGAGAACAAGAAAAAAAGGAACAGTGGTTACCTGAGGACAAGGGGGGTGCATTTGAGAAATGGGCAAATGAGAGAGAACTTTTCAGGATGAGCCTTTATAAAAGAATGTTTTGGTGCTTGATTCATTTATTACTTTATCAAATCTCTTTCTAGTCTAATCAAACCCACATAAGATTGGATCCAAATTTAGAGCCAGCATCCCTCATTGAAATACAAATCTAAAATAGACATTCCACATTCAAATTCCAACTTAGAACAGATACTATCTTTTTTTTTTTTTTTGACAGAGTCTCACTCTGTCGCCCCAGGCTAGAGTGCAGTGGTGCGATCTTGGCTCACTGCAACCTCCACCTCCCAGGTTCAAGCGATTCTCATGCCTTGGCCTCCCGAGTAGCTGGGATTCCAGGTCTGCACCACCATGTCTGGCTAATTTTAGTATTTTTAGTAGAGATGGGGTTTCACCATGTTGGCCAAGCTGATCTCCAACTCGTAGCCTCAAGTGATCCACCCACCTCTGCCTTCCAAAGTGCTGTGATTATAGGCGTGAGCCACCACGCCCGTGCTTAGAACACATACTATCTTTACACTCCTGAAAAAGAAGGAAAATCCCTTATTCACATACTAAGCATAGACCACACCCTCATCTTTAACCAAATTCCAGCTCCAAGACGCCCCACCTAGTTCTTCTCACCCCCATGTTTGATTCCAGCTGCTCACATATCTCTGGTATAAAAAATGGAATTGATACCAGACCTGCCTCTAATATTTTATTTTAACCTCTAAGACACATATAGTGTTCACTGACTTGTTCCATCACATACCCTGATTGGACTCTTCCATCCCTCCTTCAGTTCAGGCTTCTAGGGCAGAGCTGTCCCACACACTCACTATCCTGAGTTGGACCATAGGCATCTTCTATTTACCTGAGCATACAACCATGGGAGCCACACACCAGTGGACAGTGGTAGTTAGAGGGTTCAGAGAGAAAGAGAATCTAAGTGATGGGTTATGAGCCAGAAGGCAGATGTGGAAGAGATGCTTGTTTAAGTGGAACTTGCATGGAAGTGGCATGGGGAGGAGGGTGGGACTGGGAGCAAACCTCATGCTTCTCCCATCTGTGACACTGCCTTCTCTCTCTTCCTCTGCCCTGTAGATATTCCCGCTCATTTCTCAGTCACGCTGGCTGGTGAAAAGTGGGGAGCTGACAGCCTTGGAGTTCAGTGCTTCCCCAGGGCTACGAAGGAAGCTGAACACGCGTCCAGTCCACCTGCACCTCTTCAATGACTGTCTGCTGCTGTCTCGGCCCCGAGAGTCAGTGACTGGAGTGGCAGGCCAGGGCACAAGAGGGGAAGGGGATGAGGAAAGAGGGGGGTCTGAAAGGGAGAGAGAAGGGTCATGTTCCTAGAAGAGCCCTTCTCAATGGCTTAACCCATAGAGCCCAGGTCATAGCCTAGAGAAGAGAAAAACAAGCCCAAAGCAAAAAGGGGATCCCATCAAACTGTATCATGAGACCACATAGCAGGACATGTAATATGGTATAGACACAGAGCAAAATGTAGCAAATTAGCTTATCACATTCTCACATGAGTCTATTTGTGGCTTCTTTGGACTGGCCTCAACCTGCTATTCTAGAGATACTTAGCTAATTCCAGATCTTAAGTCTCTGGTCTTAAGGTTCTTGGGAAATGTATATAAATTCCATCTCTTCACCTCTTTAAAGTGGTAATGTATCCACTGCACTAGGTGTGTGGTTTGCCAGACTAGGACAAATCCCTGAGGACCCTGGAGCTACCATCTTGGGAGCAAGTTAGGACCATCTTATGGTTTTTGTGGGAATTTGCAGGCTGTAGATGTAGGGATTTCGAACCCAAGGTTATGAGGGTAGGTGAAGTATGGAAACTCTAGAATCAGGTTGAAAAGATTTGTATTTTGCAGGGGTAGCCGATTCCTGGTATTTGACCATGCTCCCTTCTCCTCCATTCGGGGGGAAAAGTGTGAAATGAAGCTACATGGACCTCACAAAAACCTGTTCCGACTCTTTCTGCGGCAGAACACTCAGGGCGCCCAGGCCGAGTTCCTCTTCCGCACGGAGACTCAGTGAGATGGGGCTGGGCAGAGGAGCTGGGGGTGGGGGAAGATGGGCAGCCGAGAAAAGAAGTGAGACCAAGGCAGAAAATGTGTCCAGAAGACAGCCACAGCCTCATTTAGCCCATTCTGGACTGGGGACCACCATAGAGAAATTCAAACTCCTAAAACTAATGGATAACTTGCAGGAGATTGGGGTGGGAGAGGGTACAAAGTCACCACCGAGGCTTAGCATCTATTTTATACTCTTTACTCAAGAAGGACAAGGTCTGTGTAGTATCAGAAAGGAGAAGGACTGGTATGGAGTGAGCAAGGAATTGGAATACTGGTATCTGTGAGCACATGCCTCCATGCCTGAGGCAGAAACCCTTCTATGCCCCAGCTGGTGGGCACAGATGTGAATAAGACAAGTGCTGGGTGACTTTTACTTTCTGTGCTCCCATCTTCCAAACCAGTCCTCTATTGACCAGAAATCCATAGTGTTGAGAATGCTGATTTGCTCATGTTTTCAATAATAATAAAATAAAATACATTCACACAGACATACATTTTTGAGAGTATTAATAGTACCTATAAAATCTGGAACACAGTGCCTGCAATAATGAACATGTAAAAGCCTGTAGCTGTTATTGCTATTATAAAAGATATATGAACAGTCATTTAAAAGTTTGACGTATCTAAGTGTTTGAGGATCCCTATGTTGTAGACACTTTTTCAGTTTTGTCCCTTGGAAGATACTTCAGAGTGGGACCGATAACACCTGTTCTCATTTATTGAACAGAAGGACTAGTATCGGAGTTTGTGTGCAAAACAGCACATAAGTCAAATAATCAGGTGCAGATGCATGTTGTTGGTTTGGTGCTTTGGGCACTGTGCCTGGAACAGTAATAGTCCATTCCCAGTTACCTAGGCACAACTGGGCACAGAGGCTAACAGAATGCAGAAACCTTCAGATGATTACAAACCTAAGCTTGGATTACACCGTGCAACAACAACAAATAAAACAGTAGACATATCTCCCTGATCTAATTATTATTATGAAACAATGATCATCTCTGAGATAGTTAGTTGAAGGGAGATAGGCAAGCGAGTGTCAAGAATCATGCCAAATGATGGAGGGAATCTAAACTGAAATGAACACTTCGCTTAGCACAATTTCCAAAACAGAAAATCTCCAGACTTTATGACTAATGAACTTTACGCCCCAACTTGGAAGATATGAGAAGCCATTAGGAGGATAATTCTGGAAAGAGAAGAGGAAAAGTAAAGTGTGACAAGACACATTCACATATAGTTCAAGATTGTGTCATGTTTCCAACCAAAAAGAGTCCTATATAGTGTTTGATAGAAGTCATGGAACTAGATAAGTCCTTCCCACAGTCTTTTGCCATCCCCATCCTTGGCCCTCCTCCTACACCCCCACAATTGATGCTATGACCCTGCTTTGTTTTCTCAGAAGTGAAAAGCTTCGGTGGATCTCAGCCTTGGCCATGCCAAGAGAGGAGTTGGACCTTCTGGAGTGTTACAGTGAGTGAGGGTCTAAGAGGGAGAGAAAAGAAAGCAGGGTCAGATGTCACCTTTGGATACAGGAGTTTAAAGGGCTGGGTGGGAACTCTAGGCCAGTACAGTATTCAATAAATTACATGAAATATTCAACAGCTTACTATAATATAGGCTTTGTGTAAGATGATTTTGCCCAACTGTAGGCTAATGTTAGTGTTCTAAGCATGGTTCAGGTGGGCTAGGCTAAGCTATGATGTTTGGTAGGTTAGGTTTATTAAACATATCTTCAAGCCAGGTATAGTGGTGTGTGCCTATAGTCAGTCCCAGCTCTTCAGGAAGCTGAGGCAGGAGGATTGTTTGAGCTCAAAGACTTTGAGAATATAGTGTACTATGACTACACCTGAGAATAGCCACTGCACTCCAGCCTGGGCAACAGGACAATAGTCTATATTTTTTTAAAAAAAGCATCATCAACTTATAATATTACCAACTTATGATGGGTTTATTGGAACATAATCCTATCATAAGTTGAAGTGTATCTTTATATAGTAGAATATAGTAACATACTACAGACTTATTTTCTCAAAGCATAAAAATAAACCACACTAATGATCATCCATGGGAGAGGGACACCTAGACAATGTCCTGCAAAACGAGAAATACTGGTAAGACATACTTTACATTCCAGACTGAGTCTCTTTCACCATGAAATAAAATCATTAAGAAATTTTTAGTAATATTTTAATTATTATATTTTAATTAAAAATTTAGGTATAGAAAGAAGGTTGTATAGCTTTACATTAAAAATAAATTAGTATGTGACTTGGCTACTTGACACCAAATAGCTTGTGTCAGATTCACCCTCCCACCATAAAAAACTATACAATCTGGCCAAAATATAGAAAAAATTCTTGGCAGGTGTATTAGTCTGTTCTCATGCTGCTAATAAAGACATACCCAAGACTGGGTAATTTATAAAAGAAAGAGGTTTAGTGAACTCACAGTTCCACATGGCTGGGGAGAACTCACAATCATGATAGAAGGCAAAGGAAAAGCAAAGGCACATCTTACATGGTAGACAAGAGAGAGGGCATGTGCAGGGGAGCTCCCCTTTGTAAAACCATCAGATCTCATGAGACTTATTCACTATCACAACAACAGCATGGGAAAGACCCACCCCCATGATTCAATTACCTCTCACCAGCTGCTGAGCATGGTTCAGGTGGGCTGGCTACATGTGGGAATTATGCAAGCTACAATTCAAGATGGGATCTGCGTAAGGACACAGCCAAACCATATCAGCAGGCATTGAAGAACATTGTTGTAGCAAGTCAGGTATGAGATCTTTAAGGAAGGTGAGGCACATGAGGTTAGTACCACATTTGCCAGGATTTTCCAGAAAGGCATCTTCCTGACCTTGGTACAGGAAAATGGGACCCAACCAGGGGTTAATGGTCTTGGGAACCAAAAGAAGCAATGAATAGAGTTCAAAGCTGCTAAATTGGTTAGGAATTGGGGGTCAATGTACCATATGGGAGAGAGAAAGAACCTAGAAATGGGTGTATACATGCCATTTTGGTCCTTCTGTGACTCCTTAGCTATGTGACAGTTGGCTAAGAAGAGGGGAGACCTTGGAGAAAGAAACTGCTGGGATACAGAAAGCAGAAGAGATCATCAGGGACTGAAAACTTCCTGGAAAGCTACTGGAGTTCAGATCCAGCCAAATGGGGAAATGTTGGCAAACAACTGAGAAACTCAGTTGGGACTCTAAAAATTCTCTTAGGAGAGATGCAGTATCCCAGGAGTGAGGCATATGTTCTAAGAGGAAAATAAAATATAATTACCATAACACAGCTTAAAACTAGATCTTGAGAGCAGCAAGATGATCTGCAAGTAATTACAAATTCTGCCCAGAAAAAAAATTCAAAATTCTTGAGTAGTTCTATATCATATTATCCATAAATTCAGCATACTTTAAAAAAAATACCAAATATACAAAAAAGCAAGTAAAACAGACTGATAAGAAATAAATCAGTTATTAAAAACAAACTCATAGATAATCCAGATATTGGAGTTAACAGATAGGGCATCATAACATCTATGATGAATATAAAGGAAAGAAAGAAAAAATGAAAGACAAAACAGGTTGTGTCAGATTTCTTTCTGGAAGCTTTAAAATGCTCACTTTATTTTCATAGATTCTAATTTCCTAAATTATGTTTGATGTTTCAAGCAAAAATCATAGCATTGTCTAGTGTTATTCTAAATGGATGTAAGACAATTATACTACAAATTTGATAGAGTAAAGAGACATAATATGACAGAAGGTTGCTATACTTCACTCAGACTGGAATAAAGATGATACCAATTGACTGTGATAATGTTTATATAAATGAATATACACTAAGCTGTAAAATGCAACCACTAAGCTATAAAATGCAACCAAAAAAACTATAAAAAAGAAGATACACTATAAACACTATAAATAACAAAATGGAATTCTAAAACAAATGTTCAAGTAACCCACATGAAGTCATGAAAAATAAGCAGAGAAACAAGAATTGATAGAGAAAACAAAAAATGTCAGGCTTACGCATTAAAGTATCAATAATTCATTTAATTATGAATGGTCTACCAAGAGATAGATAATAGAAGAGTGTATTTAAAAGTATGACCCTTTCTTATATGTTTCTTGTATGCTGTGTACAAGAAACTCACTTGAATTTTACCAATACAGGGCAGGCCAAATTAACAGGATGAAAAAAGATATATTACACAAACATTAATGAAAGGAAAGCAAGAGTGTCTGTGTGCATATCAGATAAAGCAAAGAAAACTACCAAAACCAGAGATTATATAATGATCAAAGGTTTAATCCATGAAGAAGACAGCAATTTTAAAAGTGTATTCACCAAAAAATAAAGCTTCAAAATATGTGATGTGAAAACTGCCAGAACTAAGGCGGGCCGGGCTCAGACCAGCGCTGCCTCAGGATGTGAAGTGTAACAAGAGGGCCAGGGGAGGTGGTGGGGGACAACATGGGCCTGTGAGGCCTGTGGGTGCCCGCGTTCCCCAGCTCCCCCCGCAGCCCGCTCCACAGTGGTCCGCTCCGGTTGGTTGTCACGTGCGCATTCGGGTTCCAGACCCAAGGCTGCGTGTTCTCCACCGCTTGTTGTGGCCAGTGTTACTGCGGTGACCGCCAGAGCAGCCTCGACGCTATGGAGGAGCCTGGTGCTACCCCTCAGCCCTACCTGGGGCTGGTCCTGGAGGAGCTACGCAGAGTTGTGGCAGCACTACCTGAGAGTATGAGACCAGATGAGAATCCTTATGGTTTTCCATCGGAACTGGTGGTATGTGCAGCTGTTATTGGATTTTTTGTTGTTCTCCTTTTTTTGTGGAGAAGTTTTAGATCGGTTAGGAGTCGGCTTTACGTGGGAAGAGAGCAAAAACTTGGTGCAACGCTTTCTGGACTAATTGAAGAAAAATGTAAACTACTTGAAAAGTTTAGCCTTATTCAAAAAGAGTATGAAGGCTATGAAGTAGAGTCATCTTTAGAGGATGCCAGCTTTGAGAAGGCGGCAGCAGAAGAAGCACGAAGTTTGGAGGCAACCTGTGAAAAGCTGAACAGGTCCAATTCTGAACTTGAGGATGAAATCCTCTGTCTAGAAAAAGACTTAAAAGAAGAGAAATCTAAACATTCTCAACAAGATGAATTGATGGCGGATATTTCAAAAAGTATACAGTCTCTAGAAGATGAGTCAAAATCCCTCAAATCACAAATAGCTGAAGCCAAAATCATCTGCAAGACATTTAAAATGAGTGAAGAACGACGGGCTATAGCAATAAAAGATGCTTTGAATGAAAATTCTCAACTTCAGACAAGCCATAAACAGCTTTTTCAGCAAGAAGCTGAAGTATGGAAAGGACAAGTGAGTGAACTTAATAAACAGAAAATAACATTTGAAGACTCCAAAGTGCACGCAGAACAAGTTCTGAAT
Source organism: Homo sapiens (assembly GCF_000001405.40). Taxonomy (NCBI): domain Eukaryota; kingdom Metazoa; phylum Chordata; class Mammalia; order Primates; family Hominidae; genus Homo; species Homo sapiens. The sequence continues at coordinate 144,268,470 of NC_000007.14, read as the reverse complement.
GATAAAGAAAATCACATCAAGACCCTGACTGGACACTTGCCAATGATGAAAGATCAGGCTGCTGTGCTTGAAGAAGACACAACGGATGATGATAACCTGGAATTAGAAGTGAACAGTCAATGGGAAAATGGTGCTAACTTAGATGATCCTCTGAAAGGAGCTTTGAAGAAACTGATTCATGCTGCTAAGTTAAATGTTTCTTTAAAAAGCTTAGAAGGAGAAAGAAACCACATTATTATTCAGTTATCTGAAGTGGACAAAACAAAGGAAGAGCTTACAGAGCATATTAAAAATCTTCAGACTCAACAAGCATCTTTGCAATCAGAAAACATATATTTTGAAAGTGAGAATCAGAAGCTTCAACAGAAACTTAAAATAATGACTGAATTCTATCAAGAAAATGAAATGAAACTCTACAGGAAATTAACAGTGGAGGAAAATTACCGAATAGAGGAAGAAGAGAAGCTTTCTAGAGTGGAAGAAAAGATCAGCCGTGCCACTGAAGGGCTGGAGACCTATAGAAAGCTAGCCAAAGATCTTGAAGAAGAATTGGAGAGAACTGTTCATTTTTATCAAAAGCAGGTTATTTCCTACGAGAAAAGAGGACATGATAATTGGTTGGCAGCTCGGACTGCTGAAAGAAACCTCAGTGATTTAAGGAAAGAAAATGCTCACAACAAACAAAAATTAACTGAAACAGAGTTGAAATTTGAACTTTTAGAAAAAGATCCTAATGCACTCGATGTTTCAAATACAGCATTTGGCAGAGAGCATTCCCCATGTAGTCCCTCACCATTGGGTCGGCCTTCATCTGAAACGAGAGCTTTTCCCTCTCCTCAAACTTTGTTGGAGGATCCACTCAGACTCTCACCTGTGCTTCCAGGGGGAGGAGGAAGAGGCCCAAGCAGCCCAGGGAATCCCCTGGACCATCAGATTACCAATGAAAGAGGAGAACCAAGCTATGACAGGTTAATCGATCCTCACAGGGCTCCTTCTGACACTGGGTCCCTGTCATCTCCGGTGGAACAGGACCGTAGGATGATGTTTCCTCCACCAGGGCAATCATATCCTGATTCAACTCTTCCTCCACAAAGGGAAGACAGATTTTATTCTAATTCTGAAAGACTGTCTGGACCAGCAGAACCCAGAAGTTTTAAAATGACTTCTTTGGATAAAATGGATAGGTCAATGCCTTCAGAAATGGAATCCAGTAGAAATGATGCCAAAGATGATCTTGGTAATTTAAATGTGCCTGATTCATCTCTCCCTGCTGAAAATGAAGCAACTGGCCCTGGCTTTATTCCTCCACCTCTTGCTCCAGTCAGAGGACCATTGTTTCCAGTGGATACAAGGGGCCCGTTCATGAGAAGAGGACCTCCTTTCCCCCCACCTCCTCCAGGAACCATGTTTGGAGCTTCTCGAGGTTATTTTCCACCAAGGGATTTCCCAGGTCCACCACATGCTCCATTTGCAATGAGAAACATCTATCCACCGAGGGGTTTACCTCCTTACCTTCATCCGAGACCTGGATTTTACCCCAACCCCACATTCTGAAGGTAGAAGCGAGTTCCCTTCAGGATTGATTCCGCCTTCAAAGGAGCCTGCTACTGGACATCCAGAACCACAGCAAGAAACCTGACAATATTGTTGCTTTCTTCAAAAGTAATTTTGACTGATCTCATTTTCAGTTTAAGTAACTGCTGTTACTTAAGTGATTGCACTTTTCTCAAATTGAAGTTTAATGGAATAATAGTTCTCAGGATAGTATTTCGTAAATAAAGATGGTTTGAATATGAATCTTATGAGTAAATCATTTCCATTTTATTATATTCTAGATCATATAACTTTTAACTTGGTGAACTAATCCACTCTTAGAGAAACAATAGTGGGAGTTTTATATATGTAATCTTGCAGGTGAGGAGGCTTTAAATTCTAAAGGTTGTGGTGTCTTCATGCCAAGAACTGTATTCACTGTGGTTGTAGATAAATGTGAAAGTAACTTTATGCTTAATTTAATAAATTTTCATTGATTTTTTTAAAAAAAGAAAACTGAAAGGAGATATAGATGAATCCACAATTATAGTTAGAAATTTCCTCATGCCTTTTTCAATAATTGATAGAACTAGACAGAAAATCAGCAAGGAGTGTTGGCTTTGGCAGCACTTTCTAAAATCAGAATGATGCCAACAAGATTAAAACGGTTCTTGAATATAGATTACACAAAATTTTGTGAAGCATTTCATGTTTTTAAAAAGAGGAAAAAAAAGAAAATCAACAAGAATATAAAACAACTCAAAATGCCATTAACCAAAAGAATCTATTTGGCATTTACAGAATATTCCACACAGTAACAGCAGAATACACATATTTTTTTTGAGTGCTGACGAAACACATGGCAAGATAGAGCTGTCCTAGGCCCTAAAACTCGCCACAACAAATTTAAAAGAGATAGTAATCATCCAGAGCAGATGAAAACCAGAAATCATTGTAGGGAATCCAATTGGAAATCAGCATAAGAAAGATATGAAAATCCCTAAACATTTGGAAATTTAAAAACACACTTCACAATAATCTATCAGTCAAAGAAGTCTCAAGGAAAAATTTAAAAATACATTGAACTGGATAAACATGAAACTGTGACATATCAAAGTACTGAGAAGGAAACTTAGAGCAATAAATGCACGCATTAGTAAAGAGGAAAAGTCTCTAGTGAGCAATAGATTTCCACCTCAGGAACCTAGAAAAAGAAGAGCAGAATAAACTCAAAGCAAGTAGAGGGTGGGGATTAATGAAGATAAGAACAGAAAACACTTACATTTACAAGAGAAAAACAATGGTTAAATCAATGAAACAAAGAGATAGCTATGTTAAAAGATTAATAAAATTTAGCAAACTCAAGCATAAATTAAAAGGAAAAAACAAATTTTAAATATCATAATGAAACAGGCGATATCACTACAGACATAAACACACATAAAAAAGGACTATCAAGGAATATTACAAACAACTCCACACACATAAATTAGACAATAGACAAAATGGACAAAATGCAGTGTTCCTCCTGCAACACAAACTAACTCAACTCACCAGGCATGAATAGATCATTTGAATAACTCTATAACCATTAAGAAAATAGAATTCATAATTTTAAAACTACCAATAAATAAATATTTATGCTTAGATGGTTTAACTGGAGAATTCTAACATGTTTTTAAAAAGTTAACACCAATTCTACACAATCTTTTCCAGAAAACAGTAAAAGAGAGAGCATTTCCCAATTTATTTTTTGAAGCTATTATTACAGTGATACCAAAACCAGGAGAGAGAGAGAGAGTGTGTGTGTGTGTCACACACACACACATATATACATATATATATATAAAGATATGTATAACTTACTTGATAAATAGAGTTCTATAGTATATTTTTCAAAATTTACCCATGTCCAGCGGGGGATTGTTTCCAGAAAAACAGACCTGATTAAATCTCAAAAAGTCAATCAAAATAATCCACCATGTTAACAAACAAAAGAAGGAAAGTTACATTATATCAGTTGATGCATAATAAACATTTAACACATTTCGATATCCATTCATGATAAAAGCTCTCTATAAAGCAGGAATAGAGGAAACTTCATCCACTTGATAAAAAGCATCTACAAAAAGCTAACACTATACAATCACGTGTTGTTTAATGATGCGGATACGTTCTGAGAAATGTGCGGTCAAGTGATTCTGACATTGTGTGAACATCCAGAAAGGACTTCACGGGTAAGAGCATGCATGAGGCTGTCGTCTCCTATGATAGCAATGCCTTCTTCTGGAATACCTCTTGATGGACTTGCCTGAGACTGTTTAGCAGTTAACTTTTTTTAATAAGTAAAAGGAGTGCACTCTAAAATAATGACAAAGGCCAGGCACAGTGGCTCACACCTGTAATCTCAGTACTTTGGGAGGCTGAGGTAGGCAGATCATCTGCAGTCAGGAGTTCAAGAAAACGCTGACCAACATGGTGAAACCCCATCTCTACCAAGAATATAAAAAATTAGCCAAGCATGATGTTGCACACCTATAATCTCAGCTACTTGGGATGCTGAGACACAAGAATCACTTCAACCCAGGAGGCAGAGGTTTCAGTGAACTGAGATTGCACCACTGCACTCCAGCCTGGGCAACAGAACAAGACTCCACCTCCAAAATAAAATAAAATAAAATAATGACAAAAAGTTTAGTAGAGTGTAGTAAATGCATAGTAAAATACATAGTTGTTTGCTTTTAACCACGCTGGGAGTGCAGTAGGATTGTTTACAGCAGCAATCCCACAAACATGTAAGTAATGCATTGTGCTACAATATTATTACGGCTATGACATCAGTTGGCAATATGATTTTTTCACCCCCATTATAATCTTGTGGGACCACTCTCATATATGCAGTCCATCACCGACCAAAGTGTTATGTAGGACATAGCTATACTAACATCATATTTAGTGGTGAAAAACTGAATGGTTCCTCTCTAAAATCAAGAATAAAGGAACTATGTCTGCTTTTATCACCCTTATGCAAAACAGTGCTAGAAGTTATACACTGCAATAAGACAAGAAAATAATTAAAGGACATACAGATCAGAATGGAAAAAATAGAACAGTCCCTACTTACAACAGACATGACTTTCTACATAGAAATCCAAATAAATCTATTTTACAAACCTCCTTAAATTAAGAAGTGAGTCCATTAAGGTCACAGAATTTAAGATAAACACAATCAAATTAATTCCATTTCTATATACAGACATAACTCATTTTATCGTTCTGCAATTTATTGTGCTTCATAGATATTGCATTTCCATTGTGTTAAAATTTTGTGGCTAACCTGCCTCAAGCAAGTCTATCTGCACCATTTTTCCAACAGCATGATCTCATTTTGTGTCCTAGGTCAAATTTTAATAATCTGTACAGTATTTTAAATGGGTTTATTATTATTGTCTGCTATGATGATCTGTGATAGGTGATCTTTGATGTTACTATTGTAATTATTTTAGGGCAGCATAAGCACGTCCACATAAGACAGCAAACTTAATTGATAAATGTTGTGTGTGTTCTGACTGCTCCACCGACAGGCCATTTCCCTCTCTCTCTTCCTCTTCTGGCCTCCCTAGTCCCTGAGACACAACAATGTTGAAGCTAAGCCAATTAACCACCCTATAATGTCCTCTAAATGTTCAAGTGAACGTCATTAAATTAAAAGCTAGAAATTATTAAGCTAAGTGAGAAAGGCATGCCAAGTAAGTATAAATCCGGAGTTGTCCAACTTGAGCTGAAGTGCTATTAGATCTACCAAGTCATAAGACTGAATGGTCACTGCAACCATCTATCCTATAATGGATGCAATATGTTTTAGGGCAAGAGAAAATGCAAAAGACAAAAGTAGGCTGAATGAACAGTTGGCCCAGATCCCTATATCACTGATGCCTCTCTCTCAGCTTATACATACAGTCTCCTAGGTCCTTCCAACCAGCTGATACCTTAGTAAACAAGCCAGGCCTAATGCAAGGGCACTTTGGCTAGGTATATTGGCACAATATGTCAACCACTCAGATGTGGGACCTCAAATATAATCCATGAGGGTAAACCTACTCTGATAAGTAGAATACATAGATTCATCGCCATCCATAGAAAGGGTTCAGAAAACAGGAGCTGGCCCTGTGCTTTTACAGAGCTTTATCCTTCCCATAAGGGCAGGACCAGATATTATCAAAAAAAAAAAAGAAAATTTTCAAAAGTAAATTTTGCTCAATCCTTATGCCTTATCCATTCTTCTTCTAGACAGGTCAATGAGCCCCACAGATTATTTAAAATGAATCTCCAACATCTACAGATTGGTGCTTAAAAATAAAGTGTCTGAGTTTCTATGTAAAATGACCTAATGATTAAGACCTTGGAATTCAAGTTTATTCTCCCAACAGCTTTTGGGTATTTGGGAAAGCAGACTACACTAAAAGAAATGACTGCAGGAATTAATGTCAAGGTTTTATTTTAACCGCCAAACAAACCTAGACATGGATCTTTGCATCTCCCAAGTGTTTTCTGAATGTTTGGGGAAGGAATAGCATAAATATTCATGAAACTCTAACAAATTCACATATTTTGGTAGCTGTGATAGCCACGTGGTCCCAGGATATTACTTTAGATAATATATGTATCCTTTCAGTTACAAAGGCATTTTCTGTTCTTGCCTTAGTCTCATTCTCTTTATCACTGTGGCTTCCTCAGAGACAGAATGAGACAGAAGCTCAATTCTCTGCCCCTAGAAGAATAACAGTGGTTGGGTTCTTCATGTCTCTATGGAAATCATGCTGGTGCAAGTGAAGCCTATTTTCTCATGCGTCACACAAAGCTCTCATGATAATTGGAAGGTACTCTGTGGAGGTGATGACTTAATAACACCTTCCCTTCTCAAAAGCACTTGAAGAAGCAAGATCCTTCCTTGGCATTTCTCAGATGGGCAGCAGAGTTCCCAGCACCATCAGTAAACTCAGCCACACTGTAGAAATGTTTGCCTTTTCTATATGAAGATTATCTAGGTTCTTACACAGCAGTCATCTCTAGACACCTGGATTTCCTAACTGCCTTTGTGAGTTCTGGTCAAATATAATTTAAGGTCATTTTCATTGCTTGTTTGCTTTTACCGTCACACTTTAATATCATGCAAAAGTACATTTCTACTCTCTTAATGCTCAAATTTTGCTCACCAATAGTTTTAGATAATAGGATAATATGACTAAAATATATTAATAGATATCAGCATATTATCTATCAGTATATTAATATATTAAAGCAATCAATATGTTAATGGTTATTTTGGCTGGTAGCTTTTTTTAAGTTCAAGAAATATCTGTGTGCAACTGACTCTGGTAAATGTTCAACGTTAACAAAAAAGACCAGCACTTTTTTTCTTTAAAATTTTTTTTTCATATAATTACTATTTTAAAAATTTTTTAAAAGAGATGAGGTCTCTATGCTGCCCAGGCTGGTTTCAAATGCCTGGGTTCCAGCGAACCTCCTTCCTCAGCCTCCCAAAGTGCTTAGATTACAGGCATGAGACACCAAGCATAGCCCAGCACTTAATTTTTAAAAAGGCTTAAAGTGTCACATACAGAAGCTCATTAAGTTAACAAGTGTACAGATGCTTGTTTACTTATTACGCACAATCTTACGAGGCCACACAATCTGAGCGATGATTAGGAGCTCAAAGTTTAGATCCAATCTCAGGACAACATGAAATAAATGACAAGAAATCAATAAATAACTAAATTATTTTATTTTTTCAACATGAGCATAATACTTATCCTTGGAATGGTGGTAGGAAAAATCCAATGCAAATGAAATACTTTTTAGTCGGTTTTGCAGGATTAAATTTATAATTTTATGGACATTTAAATGGAGGATTATTGCTCATCCTTCCTATCTCCAAGACAATATAATTTTACATAAAAAATGAGAATAAAATTTAAGCAAAAATGACAATATCATGCTTATGCTAACATTTTAATTGTGGGATCAAGGAGGCCTGAGTTCAATCAGAGAATTCAGAGACTCTTTCTGCAGCATTCCTCATAAATTCATCGAACTATTGCCAATCACCTGCATAGACAATGCTTAAAACTGTGTATTCTAGAGTGTTTATCAATAGTAAGCCCAAATCCAACAAAAGTTACTGATCCTGTTTTCGTGTTTAGATAATGACACGGTGCAAATCTATTCAGTCATTCACATAAATGCTCATCTAAACATTGTGGGAAAGTAAATAACAAAAAATAAGGTTCTGGGCTAAAAAATAAGTCTTTACACTTGGATAAGAAAAGATTTTGTGAGATATTTGCTGTGGAGGTGATGATCAGTGCAAGAGTGGAAAGTTTAAGAGGTGAATGACCACTGGTGTATTTGGCTGATGGTATGTCGAACCTTAGTATAGCCCGCCCTTAATTAAACCTTCCACTTTAAGATTAAACTTAATGTGGTTTTAAGACTTTGACATGTGTATCAGTTAGTGTTCATTGTTTCTGAAACATAGCAGAGAAAAACTCTGAATAATACGACCAAGGAAAAGAAGAATTTATTTGAAGGATATGAGATAGCTCACTGAATCAAACAAAAACTGTGTACTACATTGACATGTGACATTCATCCCTGAAAGGCCTGAGCCAAATTTTTTTTAAAAAAAGACCAAAAGGATATATTAATATGTGACACGTTTATTTTTAAATTTTAGCCTTTATTAAAAAATTAACGTAATAAAAAAGAAACCTATGTATACGTGTGCATGCGTTTTTTTTCCTTTTCTTTTTTTTTTTTTTTTTTTCTGGAGACAGAGTCTGGCTCTGTCACCCAGGCTGGAATGCAGTGTTGTGATCTCGGCTCACTGCAAGCTCCGCCTCCTGGGATCAAGCAATTCTCCTGCCTCAGCCTCCCGAGTAGCTGGGACTACAGGTACACGCCGCCACGCCGGGCTAATTTTTTGTATTTTTAGTAGAAATGGGGTTTCACCGTGTTGTCAATGCTGGTCTCGAACTCCTGAGCTCAGGCAATCCGCCCGCCTCGGCCTCCCAAAGTGCTGGGATTACAGGCGTGAGCTACCGCACCCGGCCTGCATATATTTTTTAAACATTTATTTTAGCGTTACCAAATTGTCTTGAAGCATTCATTTAAAAACACAAAAACTCACTGCAGCTGTCTGAACACTTTTCTACTTCACCAAAGAGTGCCGAACAAGTTAAAATGAATCTGTTTTTAAACACTTCTCCTAAACCATGAGCATTAACTTGATTTCCTCTGTCATAGGGATATGGGGGACAATATAACATCCATCACAGAGTTCCTCCTACTGGGATTTCCCGTTGGCCCAAGGATTCAGATGCTCCTCTTTGGGCTCTTCTCCCTGTTCTACGTCTTCACCCTGCTGGGGAACGGGACCATACTGGGGCTCATCTCACTGGACTCCAGACTGCACGCCCCCATGTACTTCTTCCTCTCACACCTGGCGGTCGTCGACATCGCCTACGCCTGCAACACGGTGCCCCGGATGCTGGTGAACCTCCTGCATCCAGCCAAGCCCATCTCCTTTGCGGGCCGCATGATGCAGACCTTTCTGTTTTCCACTTTTGCTGTCACAGAATGTCTCCTCCTGGTGGTGATGTCCTATGATCTGTACGTGGCCATCTGCCACCCCCTCCGATATTTGGCCATCATGACCTGGAGAGTCTGCATCACCCTCGCGGTGACTTCCTGGACCACTGGAGTCCTTTTATCCTTGATTCATCTTGTGTTACTTCTACCTTTACCCTTCTGTAGGCCCCAGAAAATTTATCACTTTTTTTGTGAAATCTTGGCTGTTCTCAAACTTGCCTGTGCAGATACCCACATCAATGAGAACATGGTCTTGGCCGGAGCAATTTCTGGGCTGGTGGGACCCTTGTCCACAATTGTAGTTTCATATATGTGCATCCTCTGTGCTATCCTTCAGATCCAATCAAGGGAAGTTCAGAGGAAAGCCTTCTGCACCTGCTTCTCCCACCTCTGTGTGATTGGACTCTTTTATGGCACAGCCATTATCATGTATGTTGGACCCAGATATGGGAACCCCAAGGAGCAGAAGAAATATCTCCTGCTGTTTCACAGCCTCTTTAATCCCATGCTCAATCCCCTTATCTGTAGTCTTAGGAACTCAGAAGTGAAGAATACTTTGAAGAGAGTGCTGGGAGTAGAAAGGGCTTTATGAAAAGGATTATGGCATTGTGACTGACAGTGACCTAGGAAGTTACATCATTGAGCGGTTCTTAACCCATCTCTGCACTGGTGGGACCTCTGCCCTCAATGGACATGAGAATTATCTGAGACATTTATTTAAAATGGAGCTATCTCCTGCCCTACCTTTAAATGACTGATTTCAGCAGATGTGGGATGAAATTCTAGAAATTGATCTCTTCAAGTTGTGCTGCAGCCACTCCACACCAGGACAATACCCCTTACAATATCCTCATTAGCTTTTGATCCAGTCCCATACCTCCCATAATGTTTTCCTCAAAACACTGGTCCCTTCAGAGGACTTTAAAAATAAGTTCTATAGTCAAATAAGTTTGAGACTTACTTCACATCAGATGCCTCTGTCTAGGGATCACAATTCATATTAGCATAGTGAATGCTGTAAATATTTCTCTAGGAAAGAATAATTCTATACCAGCTTTAAGCCAGTGTTTTCTAAACTTATGTGAGCACATAAAATTTCCTTTGTAATACTTAGTAACAGTTTCCTGGAACAGGAGATCTTGATATTAATTGACTCATTGTGAATACTTCCTACAGCCCCCTTCTAGGGCAGAATGATTTCTTTTTTCCTTGCAAAGTGAGCCTCTAAAGAGATGTAGTTCTGAGCATTATGCCTCGATCAGTCTGTAAAAATCCGGGTTCTGTTTGGATACAGACCGTGAGGGACCCTGTCTCTACTGTTCAATGGTAGATCATCTAAAGAAAATAAATGCAATCCTGTCCTTCATCATGGATCGGCATTCCTGCTATAGAAGCTTCAGGAGATGACCTCATTCAACCTCACAATCTTCTAAATTTGAGATTTTTAAGAAATATGATTCAGTATACATCTGCCTGTGTTTGCCGCTGAATGAAATCAATCTAATTTTTCTAATTCAGGGTTTTCAAGATAAACCCAGATTTCTCAAGAAAGAAAAATCTAGAAAGATTTCAAAATCCACCACCTACACACTTAAAAGTTGTAGCAGCTTCTTATGCCATGGGAAACATGTCATTTTGAGATGATGTTTTTTCTAGGTTTAAGTTTGGTCTTAAACATTTATATTTAATTTCTCATTGTCTTAGTTCAAAGAATTTACTTTTATATTTTAAAATAACTTTTTACACAATAACTCAGTGTCATATCATGTTAGATATAAAACTATGTCCTAAAACTATTTTATCCTTTTTTTTTTTTTTTGAGACAGTCTTGCTCTATAGCCCAGGCTGGAGTGCGGTGGTGCAATCTCGGCTCACTGCAACCTCTGCCTCCTGGGTTGAAACAATTCTCCTGCCTCAGCCTCCTAAGTAGCTGGGACTACAGGCATGTGCCACCACGCATAGCTAATTTTCAGTAGAGACAGGGTTTGTATTTTTAGTAGAGACAGGGTTTCACCGTGTTGGCCAGGCTGGTCTCAAACTCCTGACCTCAGTTGATTCACCTGCCTCGGCCTCCCAAAGTGCTAGGATTACAGGCATGAGCCATCCTGCCCAGCCTATTTTATACTGCTTATACTATTTATATAGTATAAAAATAGTTTTAAAACTATTTTATGGTATACTTTTTATAAAGTAAAAAGTATACTGTAGTATAATTTTTATACTATATACCATATTATATTTTTATAAAGTTGTTTCCATTTGCTACTAACTTTTTCTTTTGTATGTCAGTTTCCTGATTTCTACATTTCCTGCAGGTCACCTGGAACATCAAAAGAAAAAGAAAAGCTGTAATATTGATGGGTGGCCTACTGTGCAACAAGATTTTCATATAGTGTTTTTGGTGTTATATGGATGTTTCTTCTCGCAGTGGATGTGTAGAGTCAGAGCACAGATGGGCATACTCTCAAACCTTAATAACTGTGCCACATTGCCCTTTGAGTTTATTCTAAACCTTAGCAAGTCAGAGATCACACTGTATGGAACTAACTTCTATCTAAATTGCATGATTGATTGATAGGAGATTTCCAAATAACATTTGGACTGCCTTACATCCAGTAAAAGAACTCAGCAAAATACAAATAAATATGATAATATCTTAGACAGCAAATCTTCTCATCCCACAAGAGGCAGGAAACTGCTAGAGGAAGCTGCCTTGGAGAGGATTCTTTCCTCCCCTCCCGAAAGGAGCTGAACTCAAAATCTCTCCATTTCACAATAGACATTGGAGAACATTTTCAACAGTGGATTTGCACCGGTGTTTTGTGTCCTAGAAAAACGTTCCCTTCAGGTAGGTTCTAATAAGCCCCACTGGGACATTTTGGACACCCTTGTCTGCTCTCTGCCTCTCTAACCTTAGAGGGTCCCTTGGAATCAACTAATATTTCAGGTCCTTTCTTCCCATTACTGTTGCCACACAAGGAACCCAGATTACATCAGGGAGAGGCTGAGCTCCAGAGGTTCACACCAGGAGCTTATTCATTGTCACACTGTTCCTGCTTCCTGACAGGTTCACTTGAACCATCTGGAGATTGGGGAACAAGGGCAATGTGAGTATTCATGAAATTCAAATCATGCCAAGTATTCCGGGATGGGAATGGTTGTCTCAGAGGTGTGCTCTGTGGTTGACTGACCTTGAGCTTGCGTTTTCTTCCTTTTCTTTTTTTTTTAAATTATACTTTAGGTTTTATGGTACATGTGCACATTGTGCAGGTTAGTTACATATGTATACATGTGCCATGCTGGTGCGCTGCACCCACTAACTCGTCATCTAGCATTAGGTATATCTCCCAACGCTATCCCTCCCCCCTCCCCCCACCCCAGAACAGTCCCCAGAGTGTGATATTCCCCTTCCTGTGCCCGTGTGATCTCATTGTTCAATTCCCACCTATGAGTGAGAATATGCGGTTTCTTAATATGTGTTTCTTAATTGTGCATCCTGCTGGGGTTGAGAACAGAAATTGAAAAACACAATTGTTTTATCTCTCCTTCCCCGAGGAGTTGAACATGTAGGAAGTTTCATGGCCCAGCCCCTCCTGAGAGCCCTGAACTGCCAACCAGACTGAGCCCATCAGAGAATAACACCTCATTTTCTGAGGATTCTGATACCTTTTCAATCAGAAACAGAAGCAAAGATTCTGCAGCTCCCACAGAAACTCCCAGAAACCTTGCGGTGCTTCACCCTTCTGAGATCCTTGAGTCCGAATGTGGGAGCTAACCAGGTTGCCTTTCTTTACTTACCATGAATTCCTCCTAGACTCGTGGTGGCACCTAGGCTTTGGTTCACTCTCACTCTGTTACTAACACTTTTTATTAAGTAATGGGAAGGGAAGTAAATCATTTATTTTATGGCTAAACATATATGCTCATTATTCATATTATATATCAATGGTTCCAGGGGAAAAATAGATGCACATTTGATGTGCAAATTATGTAAAAGTGTTTAGGACTTGGCTATATATGTTTCTTTGGTGGAGAAATATCTATGTGATAGAGATTTCTTTGGGAAAGATGACACTCACAAAAAAAGCCAGAAATTTCTGTTTTATAGATTTTGATAAAATGTATGAAATAATTTTCGCAGCCAAAGGAAAGTATAGCACAGTATATTATGGAGAGATGTTACAGCTCAGGAAAATTAATACATGTCAGCTGTTTAATAAATTATGCATTTAATTATTGCCAGTACAGTCACAATACATGCTAATCTATGAGAATATATTTATTGCAATAGAATATAAACCCAAATGGATGCTAAATCTATGTCTTATCTTTCATTAAGCATGGCACTAAAGAGGGCATAAGGCACCTGCAATGTACTAGATAAATATGTATAAATATTAGATTTTCCATAGACTGGAGGATAAGTTTTTGTGGTGCACATGGAAAGAGTACAGAAAAAGAACTCAGGTGGTAGGTGGTGGTGTAACAAAGTAGGAAAACGATGTAATAATTAATAATACTTTAAATTTTCTTTTTATAGGATTTTTGTTTAATGTGTACCTTTTTATTTATTTCTGCTTTTCCTCCCGAGGCACATCTTCACAATGAAATCTTCACAAGCTCAGAACCATCAACTTGCTACACTGTGTTCCTCCAGTGCCCAGTTCACAGGAAGCACTCAAGAGTAGGATCAATTGTTATCAACCTCTAGCAGATTATTGAATAGACGGTCGTTACATGAAACTGACACTCAGTTCTTCATGGTCCACGATAGTTCTTATATCCAGAAAACGTACTTACGTTATCAACTCTGACTCCATAAGACAACTTTGCAAAGTCTTGGCTCATAACTATGTAAGCAATGAGATAACTTAGTTTTCATTTCTCACTTGTTACTTACAAGTAAACAGCCCTGCAGCTCAGCTGAGCTACAGATTAACTACAGGTAATCACTTCAGCGATTCTGCTTTACCCATGCCCAAGATTTTAAAAAAGAACCTGACAGATCATTAAATTTTGAGATTTGCTTTTTAAAATGCAGGTTCCATAAAGTTACGCTGTTTTGCTTATATATACAGCAACAAATGCCTTCTTAGATATTTACTTTAAAATTCTAGTTTCCTTACCATGTATTAGCCAGATAATCTGTCATTTTTTAAATTCTGAAATTGTACATATATAAATTAATGTACATCTCTATGCCTGAAAGGTACATTTGGAATTACAACGTGTGTCAAGGTAGAGCAAAATCCCCCAGTCCACTCCTTCCAACCCCCTAGAAATTTACTCTGTTTGGTTTCCTCTTGATTGTCTTTAATTAACAATAAGTATGTCACATAGGTATCAAATAAAATAAGAAAAAAAATAGATAAAAGAGAAGTGATTCAAAATTCAAGTGTTTAAACACTTTATGAATCTTCCCGTTGTTCTTGACACATTTTTAAAATTTCATTTTAATTCAGATCATTAGGGATGAAATTCTCCTGAATTGTAGCATTTTATTTCCTTTGGGAAGAAGGGGCTGAATTTGGCATAATTATACTTGACTATACTGTAAAAGAAACCAGATCTAATATAAGGACATCAATACTTAGTTATTAATTCATTTGCTTATATTTATATGTCATTTGAAAATGTGTATTAACATACACAATTAAAGGGATATAAAAATGAACATGCCCTCTCCATTTCTTTAAAAGAAATCAAGGCTGAATCAAACAGGACTACTGTTCTGAAAGAATACTCAGACTATGAGGTACCTTATTTTCCTTCTTTTACACCTGTCTTTCAGTTGGCTTCAAAAAATCATGGCTTTTACTGTGTTTCTTTTTTCCTTTATGTCTTCCTTTTGAGGGAAATGAAAAATTGAGAAAGGAAATTATTATTTTATAAGTGGGTGGGTTTGAATACATCTTTCACAGTCAAATATTTTTCTATGCCTTATGAGCTTAAAAAATAAATTTAGAAAGTTTGATAAACACAGAAATTTTTTATTTTATGTTATTTTATGAGATGAGGGCTTGCCATGTTATCCAGGCTGTCCTGGAACTCCTGGGCTCAAGCTATCCTCCTGCTTTCAGCCTCCCAAGTAGCTGGAACTACAGGTGCATATGACGGCACCTACTGAGAAATTTTTACTATCAACCTAAAATTTAATAAGTCCTGGTCACAAGTGAGGAATTTTTAATTTGTTATTTAGATTATTTTTGTGTCAAGGTAACTTGATCACCTATCAATAATGCTTATAAGAAAATAGATATCTCATCTGTTGCTGTTAGAAAGGAATCTGTCTCTTTCCCCAGTTCTTGCTTCAATGAGGTTTCCTTGACCCAGAGTCTGGTCCTCACATTTTAGATTCAGCTTTGGGAATTTTGTTCAGGAACTGCATCATACAACCCAAAAGCAAAAGAGGAAAATGCATAAGCCAGGATACCTAAATGTTCATTTATTTAAACTTGAAAATGTGACTGCAAAAGGAGTCAAGAAGTTTAGTACTCAACACATTTCTTCTTTGTAGAAATAACTGCTCAAGAAGATAAATTGTTACCTAACAGTTGATTGATGAATATGAAATCAGAGCAAGAGGGGCTAATTAGAGATTTTACTAGCTAGGGCTATTTACCCAAACCATCTATCCAGACTGTAGACATAGAATCACCAGATGGCTAGGATCCTGGTGCAGCTGGTTCCCCTTTTTCCTTACCCTGAATGTCATTAAGGATGCATTGCCAAATGCTGCCCCTCTGGCCTGATGACTACACTCCATATTGGTCACCTGCCTTCTTTTTCCTACAGTCTTCCTCCAGACAGGCACGCCATACAACCGACTACACTTGGGCTCACTGAATGAATCACATTCTTCTGCTGTGCCTCCCAGAGATTTCATCAAAGCACCCGCAGTGGCCTTCTGGAGGCTCCTCAAACTCTCCACTCAATGTTTCCTGAAAGTGTCGTGTTTCTCACCTCTAGATTGTTATTCTCATCAGTTACATGTGGGTTTCACAAATTTATTTCTCAGAATGCAAGTCTGTCTCTTATATCCTCGGGAAACACACCTTTATATCCCAGTTAGTACTGACAAAAATTAAACTAGGGACTGGCCAAAAACAGTGCCTTTCCTCACTTTAATCTCACTAAAGTAGATAAGACTCAAGTTATTTTGTTCTTGCAATGGCATTGACAAATGTTTGCACCAAAAACCATGTTGAAGTTCATTAAGGAAACTGTGATCCAAGATCCAAGGTCAAAAAAACAAATTCATCAATTCAGCACACCACCAACTCACAGGCTAAGCATCTTACTGCTAATTCATTGATGCTGCCATTTGTCAAGTGCCAAATTGAATTATTGATTTGTCAATAATTTCCTTCCGTTGGTTACTTATATAGTATATTGCAATTCTTGTTGCTGAAGTCAGCTACACTTTTTCTATTTGAAAAACAATTTCTTGCATTTGGGATTTCAGGTATAGTGATTGTTACAAATATGAAGGACTTGAATTAACAGCAAGTTTTCAAGTAAAACTTTACTTATGTATAACTGAATGAGTTCTTAAAGACATTTACTAACAATTTTCCACAAACTAAAAATTTATAAAACAATAAATAAAATAGACTTTAAAAAAAAGCGTGTCACACAGCTGCTTGTTTTTTGTTTGTTTCTTTGTTTGTTTTTTAGTAGTGAAATGGTGAAAAATCAGACAATGGTCACAGAGTTCCTCCTACTGGGATTTCTCCTGGGCCCAAGGATTCAGATGCTCCTCTTTGGGCTCTTCTCCCTGTTCTATGTCTTCACCCTGCTGGGGAATGGGACCATCCTGGGGCTCATCTCACTGGACTCCAGACTCCACACCCCCATGTACTTCTTCCTCTCACACCTGGCCGTCGTCAACATCGCCTATGCCTGCAACACAGTGCCCCAGATGCTGGTGAACCTCCTGCATCCAGCCAAGCCCATCTCCTTTGCTGGCTGCATGACATAGACCTTTCTCTTTTTGAGTTTTGCACATACTGAATGCCTCCTGTTGGTGCTGATGTCCTACGATCGGTACGTGGCCATCTGCCACCCTCTCCGATATTTCATCATCATGACCTGGAAAGTCTGCATCACTCTGGCCATCACTTCCTGGACATGTGGCTCCCTCCTGGCTATGGTCCATGTGAGCCTCATCCTAAGACTGCCCTTTTGTGGGCCTCGTGAAATCAACCACTTCTTCTGTGAAATCCTGTCTGTCCTCAGGCTGGCCTGTGCTGATACCTGGCTCAACCAGGTGGTCATCTTTGCAGCCTGCATGTTCATCCTGGTGGGACCACTCTGCCTGGTGCTGGTCTCCTACTCACACATCCTGGCGGCCATCCTGAGGATCCAGTCTGGGGAGGGCCGCAGAAAGGCCTTCTCCACCTGCTCCTCCCACCTCTGCGTAGTGGGACTCTTCTTTGGCAGCGCCATCGTCATGTACATGGCCCCTAAGTCCCGCCATCCTGAGGAGCAGCAGAAGGTCCTTTTTCTATTTTACAGTTCTTTCAACCCGATGCTAAACCCCCTGATTTACAACCTGAGGAATGTAGAGGTCAAGGGTGCCCTGAGGAGAGCACTGTGCAAGGAAAGTCATTCCTAAGAGGTGTGACATTTGAACTGCCAGCCTCAGTTGTCACGTGGACTCTTGATGCCCAATTATTGCCTCAATCCAGAAAAGTTTACTTCTCTTTATCTGTGCTTTACTGACAGAAGGGCAAGTCTTCTCTCGTTTTTTGCAGATAAAATTTTAGATGTGTTGCATTCATTGGGTTTCTATGAGATGTGGTTTTATCAGACAATTTTTTCTTTTATTTCACAATTACTTTAATATCTGTAAAATAAAGAATTATTTTAATTCATTTTCCCAGTCCCAAAAGTTAAATACAGGCCACTTACTTCTTTAACCAAATGATATAGTTTGGCTCTGTGTCCCCACCCAAATCTCATGTCAAATTGTAATCCCCGCATGTCAGCGGAGGGACCTGGTGGGAGGTGATTGGATCATGGGGAGGGATTTCCCCCTTGCTGTTCTGTTGATAGTGAACGAGTTCTCACGAAATCTGATGGTTTAAAAGTGCAGCACTTCTCCCTTTGCTCTCTCTCTCCTGCTGTGCCATGGTAAGACGTGCCTTGCTTCCCCTGTGGCTTCCGCCATGATTGTACCTTTCCTGAGGCCTCTCCAGCCATGTGGAACTGTGAGCCAATTAAACTTCTTTTCTTTAGAAATTATCCAGTCCCGGGTAGTTCTTTATGGCAGTGTGAAAGCAGACTAATACACCGAACTATATAAACTCACTAACGGCATATGTCATAAGATTTAAAAGAAAATAAAAAGGTTCAGCCAAAGAAGTGATTCCCAAAACCCAGCAGCACACTTGTCCATTCTCACACAATTGCACTTTCCCTGTTAAATAGAGGGATTTAGTTAGTTGTGTTGCATGCGCTGAGAAATTTTGTGTAAAACTTATTAACTCATGTACAGGAGTTAACTAGTAGGCTGAGTGAAGGAACAAACTTAAAAGAAGAGATAAGTCAGGCACAGTGGCTCATGTCCGTAACCCCAGCACTTTGGGAGGCTGAGGTGGGTGGATCACTTGAGGCCAGGAGTTTGAGACCAGCCTGGACAATGTGGCAAAACTGCATCTCTACTAAAAATACAAAAATTAGCTGGGCGTGGTGGTGCATGCCTGTGATCCCAGCTATTCTGGTGACTGAGGAATGAGAATTGCTTGAACCTGGGAGGCAGAGGTTGCAGTGAGCCAAGATTGCGCCACTGCACTCCAGCCTGGGAGACGGGGAGACACTGTCTCAAAAAAGAAAACAAAAAAGGAAAACAAAAAGAACATATATAAGGGAAAAGAGAGAAGAGAAGCAAAAGAACACTACAGACCGTGTGGGAACAGTGAACAGTGTTTACAAAGTTCAGGGTAAACTCAGTAGCTAGTAGCTGGCAAAGAGGCAAAACTGGGCATTCCCTGTTGAAAAGGCTGAAAATGAGTATCCAAGAAAACTATTTGGGTTGTTTATGGTTTCTTCAGAAAACATTGAGTGTTGAGCTGTGTATTGTACATATGCACATCTGTCTCTAAGCGTGATTCTCCAGTGTCTTTTCATCAGCTCTTCCACCTTGGTTAGTCCAGTTGTGGATCATTTCCCTCATTAGAATGTCTTACCCCTGAAAAAGGAAATTTCACCAGACAGTGTAGGTATGTAGCTAGCTCTTCAACCATGGTGGTGAAGAAATTTTTGCTGAGCCAATCTATTTTCCTGTTAAAAGGTAAACTGAGGCACAATAAAATTTTAAAGAGTTTACTTGAGCAAATAGCAATTCATGAATCAGACAGCTCCAAACTATAAGTGGTTCATGGGCTCCACTAAAGGAATGCAAGGGGAGGGCTTTTACAGGACAACCACGGAACTAAAGCAAAGAAAATATTTGATTGGTTACCTTTATACAATTGCCTTAGTTGGCCTATACTGCTGGAAAGTCTTTAGTTATATAACTTAGTTGGCAGCTTCTGAGTGGTTAATCTTAAATTTCATTTTGCTTTAATACAAGTATTTATAAGAAATAGTTCAAGTTAATTTTCACTTGTGTTTGCAAATCAGTCTGGGTTAGGTCACTTATGAGGCCTAACTGGCTTTCCCTGCTCCAGGAAAAGTGATTCCATAAGTGACCTAACCCAGCCTGAATCATCTAAGTGATTCTCCATGTCTGGTTTCCATTTTAATTTTCTTTAACAAATCTTCACTACAAATCTAATGGTTAGAGATGAGTCCCCATGCATTTTAGGTGGCTTCCCAGAGTGTTACCTATAAATTCTACTTTCTAACCTTCCCTAAGATTAGGATGCCACTTGCTTCCAGAGTCTTTCTCAATTTTACAAGAGAGCATGTTAATACTTTTTCAGCAAAATAAGTGTATGCCTTTCATAGGGGTTAACAAGTACTCCACCCAACTCATTATTATTCCCTGTGGGTGAAGATACCCAGGCAGAACTTATTAAATGTAAAAACAAAATGAGTTTTTGTAATAATAGCTAACATTTTGACTCACCACTCAATGGCATATGCTACATATTAATAGCACTTTACATGGGCCATTTCATTTAGTCATAACAAATCCAGGAAGAAGGTCCTATTGTCACTATTTTATGTATGCACAAACCAGAAAGCAGCAAGTGTCAGACTTATCCCTAGACAGTCTGGCTCCCAGCCTCTGTACATAGCACATCAATGTAGAATTTTAATATCTATGTTATCAAATAAAGGATAAGGTAAATGTATCCCAAGGCAGAACTATTAAAAGAAGGAAGCTTTCTTTATAGTCTGATGTATGCCACAGGGAGCTGATCTGTTCTCTCTAAGGCGTGGAGGACCAGAGATCATGTATGAGAGGCTGGTTGTCCTGGATGGTGACTCTTATGTGCTGAGTCACATGAAAGCACTGGACTTCTAGACAAATGCAGAACATGAAGAAGATGAGAATAAAGGTAGTTCTCACTGAGACTGGCTATTTAGTTCAGCTAAGACCCAGAACCAACACACCCATAGTCAGTCTCTCTCTCTCTCTTTCTTTCTTTCTCTCTGTCTCTCTCTCTCACACACACACACACACACACACACACAAACACACAGAGCTTATTTACTTTGTGCCAGTCACTGCTCTAAGAATTTTACATGTATTACCTCAATTAATCCTCAAAATAACACTTTGAGTCAGAAGATAATCAATATCCTACCTTACATATAAAGAAACTGAGGCACGGAGAGATTAAGCAACTTGCCTGGTACCTCACAGCTAACAATTACCCAGTCCAGGATTGAACTAAGACAATCTGATCCCTGACCCTATAGCCATAACCACTACACAGCACGGCCTCTATAGAGCATATCTGTGAATAAAGATCAAAGAACTCGTGACAGTGAAAGAAAACACATAATTAAGACCAAACTATGGATATTCAGCTTTAGATAGAAAGGGGTATACATCTTCTAAAGGAAGCAGCTTGACTCTAAACAGAGATGTGAAAAAAGTGGGGGAGTGGTCGCAAGAAAGAACTGTGACTCCAAGGGTCAGGGATGCATGGCCGTGAGGACTCTGGGGTTGAGCTGGAGAGTGAAACAGACAACACTGAACGAGAAGACCGACAATGCAGTGTTACAGCAGTGCCTTACCAATTGATGAGAACTAAAATGGATGTTTTATAGCATTTTATCTAAAAACAGCCCCAAGAAAAAGGAATTCAGTTTCATTATTGATATTTAAAATGGTTATAATCTTTCAGGTGGTATTTACCTGAAAGTTTACCTGAGAACATTGCTCAGGTAGGTATCAAATTTCACATCTAAGATGGGGAGCTCCGCAACAGCAGGAATTGGAATCCATTCATTCATTTATCAGTAACATGAGCACATTGCCTAGCACCTAGTAGGCACTCACTAAGCACTGGCTGCACCAATTCATGCACCTTTAACTATCTGCTGAGTACTTAGACACAATTGTCAGTGTTAAACTATATTCTGATTTCTGTATTTTAAAAATCCTTGGGCTTGGCGTGGTGTCTCATGCCTGTAATCCCAGCACTTTGGGAGGCCAAGGCGGGCGGATCACGAGGTCAAGAGTTCAAGACCAGCCTGACCAACATGGAGAAACCCCGTCTCTACTAAGAATACAAAAAAATTAGCCGGGCATGGTGGCATGTACCTGTAATTCCAGCTACTTGGGAGGCTGAGGCAGAAGAATTGCTTGAACCTGGAAAGCGGGGTTTGCAGTGAGCCAAGATCACGCCACTGCACTCCAGCCTGGGCAACAGAGCAAGATTCCATCTCAGAAAAAAATAAAATAAAATAAAATAAAATAAAAATAAAAATAAAAATCATTTTATCTGAATAACACAGAATAGTAGAAAGTAATTGTAGCTTAAAAATTATTTAGCACTTGTGTACGAGACAATATGTTAAATGTTTTTGATATAATCCTCACATCAACACTGTGAATTAAGTACTAATAATATCCTCATTTATAGAGGGGAAATTGAGGTTTAGAGAATTAATTAATTTACTCGATGTCAACGAAATATCAAGTGGTAGAAATAAAACTGTAGTCCAGTCAATCTACTCTACATTAACTGAGAACCATTCTTTTGGAAAGGGCCTATTGATATTTGTATCTTCAGTGGCTAGACCAGGCCAGTTTCATAGTAGTTACTCAATAAATGTTGACTAAATAAATAAATGAGTAATCATGTAGTCCACACTTCTATATTTTTAAAAAAGGATCTCCATAAAATATGTAATTAAATACAGTGTCAGTCAATTTAATCATGTTTAGCTCCAGATACATTCCGTTTTTGCAAAAGTTTCTTCTGAGATGAATATTAATAAACTACATCTCATCTGTCAGTGGCCACAGAGAAATTGTAAACACATTCAGAGAGGATATTTCGAGACTAATATAAAAGAAAACTAGGATGATATATATTTGTTCCTATCATATAGAACAAAGGTTATAGGTCTTTCAAAAAGACTGTCCCAAATTGCCAAACCCTATGGTTATAGTATGACACAACGTGATTGTGCTGGCACAGTAGCCATGGAGAGAGTGTTCCCCTCCTCTGTCTTGCCAAAGAGTAGAGCATAAGGCACTGTAATTACTGAAAATGACACGGATGACACCCTGGGAGTGGAAGTCAGTGCATGCACTACCTTAAATTGGCCCCCATGGTGTCCTTGGTATGTAGAGTGAGCACTGCCATCACTGACCTGTAGGACCATTCTTTACTCTTTGCTAGGTAATGTAGACCAGTGCTTCTCACATGTCAATGTGTATATTAATCATTCAGGGATCTTGCAAAAATACAGGTTCTGATTCAACAGGTCTAAATGAAATAGGCAGAGATTTGCATTTCTTATCATCTCTCATACCTTGCTGATGCTGCGGATCCATAGACCACACTTTGAATATTAATCATATAGAGATTCATTGTTAAATCTATGGTTCCTAAGAAAAAGTGAAGGCCAGGCACAATGGCTTACATCTGTAGTTCAGCACTTTGGGAGGCTGAGGCAGGAGGATTGCTTGAGCCCAGGAGTTTGAGACCAGCCTGGGCAACATAGTGAAACTCTGTCTCTTCAAAAAACTTCAAACATAAAAAAATTAGCCAGGTGAGGTGGCACACGCCTATGGTTCCAGCTGCTTGAAAAGCTGAGATGGGAAACTTGCTTGAGCCTAGGAGGTTGAGTTCGCAGTGAGCCATGGTTGCACCACTGTATTCCACCCTAGGTGACAGAGAAAGACCCTGTCTCAATGGGGGGGGTGGGGGGGGGAAGAAAAGAAAAGAAAAAAGAAAAAGTGGGAGAAAAACAAGAGTTGGAATGCTGTCTCACAGCTCTGATGTTTTCCCAGACCATATCAATTTTTCTTACCTTCTTGATGAACTTTGATTAAGAGCCCTGCTTTCATTTGACTTGCTGTTTTGGTTTTTGTTTACTTTTTTTGACCTGTCTCTGTTTATTTGTTTGTTTTTAATTTTTGTAATCTTGTTGGGTCAAGAGAAGAGGTTCACTACTAGGCACGGCCTGGTTTGGTCCTCAGATGACTGGCTCAGAGCCAAGACATCTGGATTCTCTAAAATATTGAAAAAACCAAAGGTGCTTTTCCTACTCCTTTGCTTATACTCACACAGTCACTCAACAATTTACTTCTAACAACAGATACGTTGAGGTTTTTCCCCACACACCTAGCAATCTGCAATGGACACCGACTGCATGCCCTAAAAATCAATTCAATTCTGACACTATCTACTGGGAGACAGTGTCAGATCCCACAAGCCTGTTCCCCCCACCCAACACTACAGATGGTAATTGCAAGCCTCAGGTTGCGACCTGTGCTTCTGTTCAACTGGCTATACATTGGGACTCTCATGACCCCCCTCCTTAGGCTCAATTAATTTGCTAAAGTGGCTCACAGAACTCAGGGAAACACTTTACTTAAGTTTGACCATTTACTACGAAGGATATTACAAAGGATAGAGATGAACATCCAGATGAGAGAGATGCATCTGGTGAGGTATTGGAGAAGGGGCATGGAGCTTCCATGACCTCTCTGGGCACACCACCCTCCAGGAACCTCCATGTGTTCAGCAATCAAGAAAGTCTGCAAACCCTGTTTGGTTTTCTGTAAAGCCTTCATTACACAGGCATGATTGATTACATCATTGGCCATTAGTGATCAACTCAAACTTCAGGCCCTCTCCCCTCCCCAGAGGTTGAGGTATAGGCTGAAAGTCCCAACCCACTAAACATGCCTTTGTTTTTGTAGTAACCAGCCCCTATCCTAAAGTTATTTCAGAGCTCCCTGCCAGCAGTCATCTCATTAGCATACCGTCTAAGTCCATTTTGTGTTGCTATAACAGAATATCACAGACTGGGTAATTTATTTAAAATAGAAATTTATTTCTCAGAGTTCTGGAATCTGGGAAGTCCAATATCAAGGTGTCAGCATCTGCAGAGGGCCTTCTTGCTGCATGGTGAAAGGTGAGAGGATGAGAGAGGGACAAACTTGCTTTTGTAACTAACCCAATCTCCACATAACAAATCCACTCCTGAGACAACACCATTAATCCATGCATTAAGTCAGAGTTTTCATGACCTAATCACCTCTTAGAGGTCCCACCTTTCAACACTGTTACATTGGAGATTAAGTTTCCAACTCATGAACTTTGGGGGACACATTCAAACCACAGAACATACAAAAGATACTCTTATCACTCTGGGGATTCCTAGAGTTTTAGAAACTGTACGCCAAGAAATGGGGACAAAGACCAAATATATATTTCACAAAATTATGGGTTCCTCTCCCAATTTACCACCTACTCACTGCATGACCTTAGAGAAGTCACTTAATTCCTCTGCACATTGGTTTCCCCACATATAAAATGAAATGTCGGACTAGATGATTGTTAAGTTCCTTTTAGTTCTCAAATTCTATGCCTTTTTATTAACTTCCTAGAATGTATGTTGTTTTTCTTTTACATAGGAGACAAAATTAAATGGAATTTTTGAGAATAATTTTTGAGAATTATTCTCGAACTCCTGAGCCTCACAAATAGTAGGAATTCAAGAGTAACCACAAAATTAATTATTGATTTCAATATATTTATGCTGTATGAACTATGAATGGCATAAGACTTGCAGAATAAGGCAAAAGAAGTTTCACATTAACTGTCCTCTCTAAGGAAGTAAAAACAGTTTCATTACCCTATTTGAAAAAGATTAAGAATAACTTTTATTCACAGAGTTTCCCAGATCTGTACATTTGTGCTGGCATTGCACAAGTGACATAATAATATTAATTCCTGGCATTTATTGAGTACTTGTTTCATATCAAACAATGTTTTACACATATGCATTTATGTCTAATCTAATCTTCATAACAATTGCCAGAGGGAAGTATTACTATTATATACAATTTATACATGAAAAAAATCAAGGCACAGAGATGTTAAGTACACCTCAGACAGCTAGTAGGTGGCACAGGAGGACTTTTCTTTAGGTGTTCCAAAGGCCAGAGACTATGTCTGTAACTATTATACTAAGTTATACCAATCTCCTCCAGCCTGGACATATGGAGTCTTTTCTACCCATGATTAAAAGCTTGAGAAAAATGAGCCTGAATTTTTGACTGGCCTGAAATTTCATCCTAAGAAAGAGGATAGTAATGCAGCTAATATATTTTAACATAGGTGAAAAAACCAAAAGGGTAATACACAAATCCATGAGAAAAATGGACAAAAATATGTAGATACAGACAACAGAATAAACACAACATACCAATAAATATGACAATGTCATCTATCTCAATCAGGAAATCTACTATAAAATGAGATTTTTTTACTCAATAGATTGTGAGGGGAAAATGGTGTTACATGTGATGTTGATGACACTCACACATTGTTGGTGGAGGTATAAATTGGCACACATTTTGGATTTAAAAAACTGAAATTATTTACCCAACATTTAAAACACGCATACTAATTCTAAGAATCCATTCTACAGAAATACTTACATATGTAACTGCACAAAGAAATGTGTACATGGATTTGGTATTAAATTGATTTCAAAAATTCAAAAGATCAAGTGTTAATTTTGAAATTACTAAATTATGAAAAATGTTACACAGCTATTAAATAGAACAAGTATTATCTAAAATGAGCTGCAATGAAAATAGCTCATCAAATATAGCTAAATGAAAAAAGCAAGTAACATTTTTATAAGACTTTGTCATTTGTGCAGGGAAATCTCCTAGCTATACATAAATTCGTACACCTGTATATGTGTATGTGAGTACACATGTATGCACATGTGTGTTTACATACATCTGTATTTAATTTCGTGATCTGGAATGATGTACATTAAGTAGTCAACAGAAGTTGCTTTAGGCAGAGGAATGAACTAGGAGAAATAAACCCTTCTATGTTTTTCAATAATATTACAGGAAACACGTATTAATGTTAGAATTTCTAAAAAGCCTTTTCTCAAAAAACGTCTGGCCCCTTAAGTTCTCAAAACAGTACACATTTCTCATATATTTTAGTAAAAGCCAAAATTAAGCAATTATTAAAAGCAGTTTAGAATCTTGTTGGATTGTGCTAAATTGTATCAAAGTGTTTCCTCAAAAATATCATTTTGTATCACTTACATTATTATTCAATATTGGGCTATGTTTAAGTAAGTTAACCTATATTATTAATTAAAATAGTTTGCATGAGAAACCAAATAGCACACAAAATAAACCATGACTCCTCAGACTCTAAGATAACTGCATGACATAAGCAAAAAGTCAGTATTTCATGCCATATGTTGATGCTTTTTAGAATATGAATTGATCTCGAGAGCTCCTAATACCTTAGCTTTAGAGTTACTAGCCCTTCCTCATTCCTCTCATCGCCATAGTAATGTTAAATAATGTATTAGGTAGGATAAACAGCAACAGGTAAACTCCCAAATCACAGTGATTTAACAAAATAAAACTTTACATCTTGCTCATGTAAAGTCCTAGGCAGGGATGACAGACAGCCTTCCACTGGTGATGCAGGGACCCAGGCACCTTCCATCGCATGGTCCCGCCATCCTAGAGCCCTGTAGGCCTTCACTTCCAGCC
Organism: Homo sapiens; assembly: GCF_000001405.40. Lineage (NCBI taxonomy): Eukaryota > Metazoa > Chordata > Mammalia > Primates > Hominidae > Homo > Homo sapiens. The sequence goes on along the minus strand of NC_000007.14, from coordinate 144,241,106 downwards.
AGTGATGGGAAGGCCAAACATGGAGGAGGCATGCCCTCCTCCTCCATGCATGCCCTCCTTCCACTGCAGCCCTGGAAGCTGCACAAATCTCTTCTGCTTGTATACCTTTTGTAAGAACATGACCCCACCTAAATATAAGAGGGCTGGGAAATGCAATCCCACACTGGCAGTTAAGTCCAGAGACAATTGTGCAAGGGAAGAAGACCCCACATCTTTTAAGGAATTTGTCTTAGTTAAGGTAACACTAGCAGCTGAAACAAACCCTAAAAGTAAGTCCTTACAATTATTTCTCTTTTGTTCTCTGTTTCAAAGGATTTCAGATGAACTTCTGCCCTTTTAACTCATAATTATTCATGAAATATAATTGAGAACATTAGCATTTTCACTCTCTTCTCATTCCACTTCTGTCATGCCATCCTGAAGATATATTTACCTATGTCTTGGCTGTTTCTCCGAACATTATTAGCTGCTCTTTTATAAAACATCTCTTAGGATAATTTACTCTGTAAGGTGGCTAAACCCACCCATCTTATGTTAGCTTTTGTCTGTATTACTCTCAAATGAACTCTGTGGTCAAATTCTAAAAGTACTTTAAGCATAGAAGTTATAAATGTTCAATGAAATCAAATGCCCAATGCTGGAAGATCATGTAAATATTTCTCATTTCAATTAATATTGGCTGTGTCGTTTATGTGCTGAGTTCTTTCATATACTTTTGTGTCATTTTTACTGTCTTCAACAGAAGTTATTTCAATTTAATTTTAACAGAATATTGACAATTTTGAGTTATAGCTATTGATATTCATGTTCCTAAAGGGTTTTTGCTAAGTTTTTGTTTGTGTGACATTCCCAAATGTTATACTTACTTACTAATTATTTTCTATCTTTTTAATTTTTATACCCTCAAATGTGTGTTTATAACCAATGTTCCTAAGGTGTTGGTTATATAGAAATGAATTCTCTAAAGCCATTATTCACAGAACTTTCAGCTGACTACTTGCTCCCAAAAGGCAGTTTCCTGATTTCTGCATACTGGCGTATCATGCAAACATCTGTAAGCATATCCATTTCTACTAAGATCGGACTGTTCTGTCTGTGTTATTTTCCTTCGTATACTTTTACGTTTTGTATGTGTTTACTCTGACCATTTTTAGAAGCTTAAGCTTCTTCAACTTGATATGTGATAAATCATGTAATTTGAGGCGATGCATTTCCTAAATTAGTTTGTTTGGCATCATAAAAACCTTATATTTAACTTGTTTTAGCTCACATTTTCTGTTTTCTACCTTAAAATGACTTTTTCTAACTGATGTTCATATGATGAGGAATATGGAAAAAAGTTCTAAAATTGTTGTTTTCACAGGCTTGTCATTTATATCTGTTGCACTTCACCGGGGTGTGGAAAGAAAAATAAAGAAAAGATTCTAATGTTTATGGATGGCCTACTAGGCACTAGACTTTTCATATGATCAGGAGCATTTTTGTGTGTCCCCAAAGCAATTCACTGTGGACATATACAGCTGGAACACAGGTGAGCGTGTTCTCACACCCTGATTACCTGGGCAAGATTTTCCTTGGGTTTATACCATAACCCCAGCAGGTCAAAGACCACATTGTAATAAACTCATTAGTTTGTAAATTGCATAATTGCTTAATATAAAATTCATAATCCTCCTATGTCCAGTAGAAGAAAGAAGTAGAAATAAACATGAAAATACCTTTGACCAGCAAATATCTCCACCCTCCAGGGAGAGGTAGTAGCTTCTAGGGAAACCATCTTGGAGAGGGTCCTGTCTTCCCCTGAGGTGGGCTCTGAATCCAGCACTCTTCCCCTTTCAGAATAAAGATTAGAGAATAATTCTAATACACGATCTACAGTGGTGGTTTGTGTCTTAGGAGACCCTCCCTTCAGGCAGGTTCTAATAAGCCCCACCGGGACACCTTGGCCCCTCCGTTGACTCCCCAGTCTGCTCTGTGCCTCCCTCACCAGCTCCCCAAAGCATCTCCATACCTTGGAGGGTCACTTGGAACCAGCTAACTTTTCAGGGTCCTTTCTTCCCAGTTCTGCTGCAACACAAGTAACCCAGATTACATCAGGGAGAGGCTGAGCTACAGAGGTTCCTGCCAGGAGCTTATTCATTGTCACACTGGTTCTGCTTCCTGACAGGTTCACTTGAACCATCTGAAGCTTGGGGAACAAGGGCAGTGCTGGGATTCATGAAATCCAAGCATTCCGGGACTATAATGAAAGATGTTGTCTCAGAGGTGTGCTCTGTGGCTGTCGGTGTTTGTTAATTGTGCATCCTGCTGGGGTTAAGAACAGAAATAGAAAAAACCAATTGTCTTGTCTCTCCTTCCCCAAGGAGATGAGCATGCAGGAGGTTTCATGGCCCAGCTCCTCCAGTGATCCCTCAGCTGTCAACCAGGCTGAGCACATCAGAGAATAACACCTCCTTTTCTGAGGATTCTGATACATTTTCAATCAGAAACAGAAGCAAAGATTCTGCAGCTCCCACAGAAACTCCCAGAAACCTTCAGGTGCTTCACTCTTCTGAGATCCTTGAGTCCAAATGTGGGAGCTAACCAGGTTGCCTCTTTTTACTTTACCATGAATTCCTCCTAGACATGTTGTAGCTCCTGGTCTTGGTTAACTTTCACATCCACTACAAACATTGGTAAGGAAATTCACTCCTCTCTAATTATGTGCTGATTATCTTTCTGCAATGGGGATAGTTTGAGGGAAAGTTCATGCTAACTTCTTTGAACATATTATCACAAATAATGTATGTATGTAGAGAATTAAGCTAATTTTTTATATGATGGAGAAGTAACTGCATGAAAGCAACAAAACTATAAACATCAATGCCAGATTTAAATAAATAAAGAATACATCATCCATAAAATTAACATGTTGACTTCCACTGCCATAATCAAGACTACAAAATCAGCTTTAGAGGATCATGGTTTTAAGGGACTATTGTGAACCTTGAAGAGGCAATGCTTGTCAGGTTCATACAATCTTCAGGCTACTCAAGAAATTGTTAAAGACTGATAATAATTGATCTCAGCCATTAAGTGTTCACTGCATACCAGAAATGTGTTCAATGTATAACACAGATCATCTCAATTAATCTTCACAACCACCTCATAAAATAGGTACTATCACTTTTCTCCTTTTTAAAAAAGAGGAAACGAGTTTGGAGAGGCTAAGATATGTGCTCAAGGTCATATAACTAATAAATGTGCATCTGACCACTAAGCCCATGGCTCTTTAATTGCTACTTTTTTTGTTTCTTTCAGTGTTTACTCTGCCTGAGAACCTGATTCACAGAAGAATGTGGAGAGTTCATTAATGTTTTGCTTTCTCATATTTAATCAAATTGATATCTAGTTAGTCAATAAATAATTATTGAACACCTACCATATTCCAGGCACAATATATAGTCAAATGTATTTCACCTTTTTAGTCACTTACTAGATCAATAAATCAAATGAATGAATGAATGCCTAAATATCATTTTTTGGTTTTTTTTTTGTTGTTGTTTGTTTGTTTGTTTTTTTACCGTCTTTGGACTGAATCTGGAATTTCTGGCTTGCTTAAATCTTGCCTACTGTAATCGGTATACTTGAAAGACACTACTATTTCTCCACCCACCCCCACCCCATAGTTTCTTTCATTCTATGTGATACAAAGAAAATCTCATTTAAATGCAAATGGATTAAATTCATCAAAGGATTGGAAAAAGTGAAAGAAGATACTAAAAATAAAATTAAATATAACCCAGTTGCAAACATAACGTTCAGGCATTGTGTATGTTTTAAATGATATATATGTACAAGTTAGCCATTTAAAAATTTGGCAAATTATTTTATGACTAATAAATTATCCAACATCTCCATGATTTCTAAGTAAATATGTAAGACTGAAATCATTTCTTTGCAGATGACCAAACCTGTCTATTTCAAAAAGTAAAACTTAAGATCTGATGAGCCAACAAACTCCTAATGAGTCACATCATATTCTTTAAATAAAAGCTATTTTTAAATCCTCAGGTCAAATAAAGTATTAGATGCTTTACTCCCGAGTAATAAGAATATTTGAGGCCAGGTGCAGTGGCTCATGTCTGTATTCTCAGCACTTTGGGAGGCTGAGGCAGAAGGACTGCTTGAGGCCAGTAGTTTGAGACCAGCCTGGACAACACAGTGAGACCCTATCTCTAAAAAAAAGTTTTTAAAAAAAGGTAGCCAGACATGGTAGAGCACACGTGTAATCCCAGCTACTGGGGAGGCTAGGTGGGAGGATCACCTGAGCCTAGGGAGGTTGAGGTTGCAACGAACTATGATTGCGCCACTGCACTCCAGCCTAAGTGACAGAACGAGATCCTGCCTCAAAAAGAGAAAGAAAAAAAAAAAGACAAAGGAGTGTTATGAGTGTATTAGTTTTAACAAATATTCTTTTTTTCCTTTTCTTTTTGTTGAGACAGGGTCTCACTCTATTGCCCAGGCTGAAGTGCAATGGTTCTATCATAGCTCACCACAACCTCAAACTGCTGGGCTCAAGCAACCCTCCTGCCTCAGCCTCCCAAGCGGGTAGAACTACAGGCATGTGCCACCACGCCCAGCTACTGTTTTTGTTTCTGTTTTACTTGTTTTTTTGAGACAGGGTTTCACTATGTTGCCCAGGCTGGTATTAAACTACTGGTGTCAAGCAATCCTCCTGCCTCAGCCTCCCAAAGTGCTGGGATTACAGGCATGAGCCACCGCATCCAGCCTCAAATATTTCTGATTCTTGGAAATAAATCATCTAATACTTTACTTGACCTGAGGATTTAAAAATAGCTTTCATTTTAAGAATGTTGTGTGACTCATTAGAAAGGAGTTTGTCAGCTCATCAGATCTTAAGTTTTACCTTTTGAAGTAGACAGGTTTCGTCATGTGTAAAGAAATGATTTCAGTCTTACATATTTACTTAGAAGCCATGGAAACGTTGGTTAATTTATTAGTCATCAAATAATTTGCCAAATTTTTAAATGGCTAACTTGTACATATATATCACTTAAAGCAAGCTTGTCCAAATTGCAGGTGGCCCAGGACAGCTTTGAATGTGGCCCAACACAAATTTGTAAATTTTCTTAAAATATTATGTGATTTTTTTTTTAAGTTCGTTAGCCATCGTTAGTGTTAGTGGATTTTATGTGTGGCTCAAGACAATTCTTCTTCTTTCAACATGGTCCAGGGAAGCCAAAAGATTGGACACCCCTGAAAGTATACACAATGCCTGAATGTTACATTTGCAACTGGGTTATATTTAATTTTTTTTTTTAGTCTCTCCTTTCACTTTTGCCAACCCTTTGGTAAATTTAATCCATTGAGTTAAGTAAGATGTTCTTTGTATCATGTAGAATGAAAGAAACTATGGGGGAGAAAAAGAAAACAAAAGTGTCTTTCAAGTATTCAGATTATAGTAGACATTCCAGATTCAGTCAAAGGATGGTTAAAAAAACTATGCATTCATTCATTTATTCATTTGTATTTATTGATTAATTTGTCCACACAGTAAGTATTTACTGTCAGGATTACAAAAGTGAGAGCACCTTTTCCTTGTTCACAAGGAGTGTGTTAACAACCCAGTCCTGTAAAAGAAATCAGGGTTTCAACCCATGTGGCAACTGTCCTTAAAGAATCTGAGTGTCTTCACCAAGCTCTCCTTTCTTCTTGACTCTCCATCTAGCTTTCAAAGAAATTCATACTTGTGCATAGTGGATTTTTTTTCTTTGTATAATCATTTGGGGAGTTACAAAAGGAAATAATGAAGGACTAAATAAAGAAATTAAGTTTTTTATAAGATGTAGACTGGGTACACGGTTCATGCCTACAATCCCAGCACTTTGGGAGGCTGAGGTGGGAGGAGCACTTGAACCCAAAAGTTTGAAACCAGCCTGGGTGACATAATAATACATTGTCTGTACAAAAAATATTTATTTAAAAAAATTAGCTAGGTATGGTGGCATGCACCTGTAATCCCAGCTACTTGGGAGGCTGAGGGGGAGGATCACTTGAATCTGATATGTCAAAACTACAGTGAGCCGTAATCACACCACCGCATTCCAGGGCAGGTTTCACAGGGAAACCGTCTCAAAAAAATAAATAAATAAATAAAGATGTTTATAAGGTGTAAATTCAAATGCATTTCACAACCAAATATTTCATATGCTTTGCGTGTTTTCCAATTAAATGTAGAAGGTTGGCCTAGGAGAGTATTTTTTTAATAGAATCCTGAAAAAAAAAATATAACCCTTGGCCATGTGTTATGAAGTTACAATATTCACTAGAATTTATTTGTGTCTTGCTGATAATAATCAACAATTTATTGATAATGCTTATAAGTATACAATCATTTGTTACCACTGGAAAAGGATCCAGTGGGAACGTTCTTTAGGGCTCCAATTAGATTAGTTTTTTAACTTTTTCTTTTCTAACTTTTAAGTTCAGGGGTACAAATGCAGGTTTGTTACATAGGTAAACAAACTTGTGTCTTGAGGGTTTTTTGTACAAATTATCTCATCACCCAGATATTAAGCCTAGTACCCATTAGTTATTTTTTGTGATCCTCTTCCTCCTCCCACCCTTTACCCTGTGATAGGCCCCAGTACTGTGTTGTTCCCCTCTATGTGTCCATGTGTTCTCATCATTTAGCTCCTGCTTATATGTGAGAACATTCGGTATTTGGTTTTCTGTTCCTGCATTAGTTTGCTAAGGATAATGGTCTCCAGCTCCATCCATGTCCATCAAAGGATAAGATCTCATTCTTTTTTTATGGCTGCATAGTATTCCATGGTGTATATGTACCACATTTTCTTTATCCAGTCTATCGTTGGTGGACATTTAGGGTGGTTCCATGTCTTTGCTCCAATGACAGCTGGACCAGGGTCTTATCAAAAGCAGCATATTTCCTTAATCTGGAGAAGTTCTCCTTAATCCAGAGAAGCTTTTTCTTCAGAGATAAGCAGGTTCAACGGCTCAGCCGCAGGTTATTTTTGCCTAGCAAAGGCACTAACAAAAACATGTGCACTGGCAAAATACTGGATTTCTACATGGTATATTGAGGAAAATGTTATCTAGGACTTAAGGACAAAAACCCAAATATTATTTGGCACATCACCAATTCACAAATACCAATTACCTGACAATTTATTGCTATAATAATCTGCAAAATAATGAAGTCACTAAATTAGCTCTTTGCAAAAAAAGTTTTAATTAGCCACCTGTAAAGTGTTTAGCAATTCTTATGTTGCTGAAGCACAATTAATTTTTTATGAATGGTCATTTCTGGTGTTTTTGAAAGATACTTCATTTAAATTTTTTCTCCATAGTTTCTTTCATTCTACATGTAAAAAGAACATCTTACTTAAACACAAATGGATTAAATTTACCAAAGGGTTGGCAAAAGTGAAAGGAGAGACTAGAAAAGAAATGATATATAATGCAGTGGCAAACATAACATTCAGGCATTGTGAATGTTTTAAATGATACGTATGTACAAACTCGCCCAGAAAAATCTAATTTCTACAAATTGTGTGAGTTGTTATTCAAAACCAGTTTTTGGTAAATCAGTAACTGTGCATCAATCAGTAGATTAACTGCCAAATCACCAATTATCGGTTCCTATTTATGACCCATTGTAAAATAAAGATTGCAATTAGAACCCATTTGTAGCACATCCATTAGTTCCTTCTCAGGAACCCAAACAATCACAATGTCATTAAAATTGTTTTTTGTCTTTCTACTTCTTCTGTTATTATATAAACTGCTCCAGAGTGCAAAGGTTGATTTCAGATGTTGAAAGCAAAATAGTTGATATTTCTACTGAGAAACTGGGATTACATCATCTTTTTTTCTAGGACTACTCTAATTCCCATATTTGGAGTTCTTCCATTACTGATTATTTCTACACTTCAGGAATTCTCTTAGTAATTTTTATATGTGCAGCTTCAAGACAATCCTTATTAGATGGTCATTTTACTTCCACTTTTGGTACGACATTCTTTCTTCCCATGATGTGTCAATGGCTCTATGTATCCTATCATTGGTGACACAATCCCTTCTATAACACTGGATACTTACAATCAGTAATTAACTTAATGTGTAGCTCAATCACTAATGTTAAAAGTTTATCTTTTAAAAATGACTAAATTCATAAAATAATGTCTAGGTGTTTTTTGACAATCTGGTCCTAAGTGATCTTTTTCTTTTTCACAGGGAAATGGGGGAAAATCAGACAATGGTCACAGAGTTCCTCCTACTGGGATTTCTCCTGGGCCCAAGGATTCAGATGCTCCTCTTTGGGCTCTTCTCCCTGTTCTATATCTTCACCCTGCTGGGGAACGGGGCCATCCTGGGGCTCATCTCACTGGACTCCAGACTCCACACCCCCATGTACTTCTTCCTCTCACACCTGGCTGTCGTCGACATCGCCTACACCCGCAACACGGTGCCCCAGATGCTGGCGAACCTCCTGCATCCAGCCAAGCCCATCTCCTTTGCTGGTTGCATGACGCAGACCTTTCTCTGTTTGAGTTTTGGACACAGCGAATGTCTCCTGCTGGTGCTGATGTCCTACGATCGTTACGTGGCCATCTGCCACCCTCTCCGATACTCCGTCATCATGACCTGGAGAGTCTGCATCACCCTGGCCGTCACTTCCTGGACGTGTGGCTCCCTCCTGGCTCTGGCCCATGTGGTTCTCATCCTAAGACTGCCCTTCTCTGGGCCTCATGAAATCAACCACTTCTTCTGTGAAATCCTGTCTGTCCTCAGGCTGGCCTGTGCTGACACCTGGCTCAACCAGGTGGTCATCTTTGCAGCCTGCGTGTTCTTCCTGGTGGGGCCACCCAGCCTGGTGCTTGTCTCCTACTCGCACATCCTGGCGGCCATCCTGAGGATCCAGTCTGGGGAGGGCCGCAGAAAGGCCTTCTCCACCTGCTCCTCCCACCTCTGCGTGGTGGGACTCTTCTTTGGCAGTGCCATCATCATGTACATGGCCCCCAAGTCCCGCCATCCTGAGGAGCAGCAAAAGGTCTTTTTTCTATTTTACAGTTTTTTCAACCCAACACTTAACCCCCTGATTTACAGCCTGAGGAACGGAGAGGTCAAGGGTGCCCTGAGGAGAGCACTGGGCAAGGAAAGTCATTCCTAACTGGTGTGACATTTGACTCTCCCTCCTCAGTCATCTCCTGGAATCTTGGTACCAAATACCACCTAAGTTCACTACTCTCTTTATATCTGAGACTGAATGAACCAAGAGACTCTGCAAAGCATTCCTTTTTCCTGCCTGGGAAGTATTTAGTTTTTGATGCATTTGTTATACTTAACATTTTTTAATTTAAGCACTTATTGAGTTGAGAATGTTGGGGAAAGATTTATTTTGTACACTGCTATGAGTCCAGAAGTTTAAAACAGACACTCCACCTGTGACTTAGTCAGGTATGCTCAGTAGTAGAGGAATAGCAGTTATTACCAGATAAAGTCATATCTATAAAAAGTTTTTAAAAATACAGCCACAGGCAGAGACTCCAGAACCCATTGATACCTCTGTCCATTTTCATCCTCATTTGGATGTTTCCCCTCAATTGTACTTCCTTTCTTATAAGCAGTAAATGTACCTAAGTGCCTACTTCAGCTTGGAGGGAAATTGATTTTTATAAAATCCTACAAACTGACAATTTCTGTTGTCAGAGAGAGTGAATCCATAAACATTCAGCTGGCAATCTGAAGCAATTACACAACAAAATCCACTTTCCAACCTGCCCTGAGACTGTGATGGTCACTTGTTTCTACTCTTCTCACCTCCTCCAGGGGACTGTCTATGATTGTCTCTAAATAAGCACATGCTCTTCACTTAGAGGAAGTTAGTACCACCACACAACTTTTCACTGCTGGGGACGAATGGAAAGCCCCACACAGAGACAATTCAATGGAAAAAAGCGTTTTAATAATAATGTTAATAGTTAGCATTATTATAAATTACTCTGCACCATCCACTGCACATTGATAGGTACTTTATAGAGATAACCTCAGTTTATCATTATAGCCAATTCATTTCCCATTATTATCCCATTTTATAGATGTGAACTTCAAGCAGATGGTAAATGTTAGACTCATACCCAAACAATCTGGCTCCCAAGCCTTCTTTACTTAACCAGGACAATGTGGGACTTTATTAGCAACATTTCAAATTAAGAATAAGTCTAACCAATCCTAACGTAGGATATGTTAAGTGAATGTGGGTTTCTTCCCCATCTAGAATGTGCCATGATGAGGCCAGGAGAGTCAGAGATTATTTATGGAAGGCTTCTTATCCTGTTTGACGAGTCCTGTGGGCATGGCTGCAAAGGAGGTTAAGAGATTCAGAGGAACACAGAACACAGACAGGGTGGGAGTAGAGGCTGTTCTCAATGAGATTAGAGAGTAAGTTTAGAACTATACTTGGTTCTGGGTGGTAAGATCCAGAACAAAGACATCTCTAGTTCACGTACAACACTCACATGCTCACGTACATGCGTGCGCGCACACACACACACACACATATACGCACAGTGCTTAGTGAAGCACTATTCCAAGAACCTTACAAGTAAGAGCTCTTTAAGTCCTCATAAAAACCCTATGAGGTAGAGACTATTACTACTATTTTTAGGCGAGAAAACAGAACTATAGAGAGATTATATAATTTAACCAATGCTCCCAGCTAATAAGTACCTAGTCCAGAATCAAACTTAGGCAATATGACTGCTGAACCCATAATCGTAACCATTATATAAAAATCAAAGAGATCATGAAATTTCCAAAGATGAAGAGGAGGAGAGATGAAAAGCAATTTTCAATCTCTAGCCAAAGATAGGCATTGGGCTCCAGACAGAAAAGTACTTAAAGCTGGGGGAAAAACAAACAAACAAACAAACAAACAAACAAAAAACAGCTTTTTTTATACTGGTGCGTGAAATGAGATGAGGTGGTAGCAAGAAGGAACTGTGACTCCAAGGGTCAGAGACGGAGGAGGAGCCTCTTGACGGGCAGGATGGTGAAACCAAAAACAATGGATAAAACTTTTAAGTTGATGGTTCATCAATTGAAGAACATTAGAAAGTGTTTTTGTAAATTATCTAGCCGGGCATGGCAACGTGTGCCTACATCCCCAGCTATTCGGGAGGCTGAGGCAAGAGGATCACTTGAGCCAGGGATTTTGAGGCTGCAGTGAGCCATGATCGCACCACTGCATTCCAGCCTGGGTGACAGAGTGAGACCTTGTCTCCAACAATAATAACAATGAAATAATTTATTAAATTTTTTAAAATTACCCAAACTGGATATACAATTTGTAATTCCATTGCTGCCGAACAGTTTTTAAACGGTTGTTTAGTTTCACGGCAGATGCTGCATACTGCATTGCAACTAACACTGGGAAGGGATACATTCAAGTGGCAGGACAAAGGTGAGGAGCTCTAATACCAGGGGTAGGTTTCAAGGGATGAATACTCCCCTGGTACCAGAGGAGCAGCAGGAAATCATGGTGTGCAGAAACCATGCTCAGGCGGTTGCCTGTGTGGACCCTAAATTCTGTGTGTGCAGTCCTCTCTTAGGATTGGCCCAGGCATCCAGGAAGCCCACGATGCTGCCTACCCCTTAAATACACAAGGTGCGTACCGGAGGCCCTGGTTCTAGTTCCAGATGTACCATTTGCTAGCTGTGTTTTTTGCAGAGAAGTCCCTTAAACTGCTTAAGCTTCAGTCCTTCATCTGAAAATTATGCATATGGAAGCTGTTTAGGACACCACAGAGTGCCACTGAAAACCCAAAGCAAGATGCAAATGGACACATTTTTTTTCTGAAGACTTAAAAGTGCTATGTGAACATAAGATAAACTGTTATGATTACCCTGCTGTCAGAAGTTATTTTAAACCTGTCAGGGTTGCTAAACTTTCTGATCTGGAACCAAAATTGCTCTTTAAACAGGAAGAGCATTGGTGCTGGTAGGTCACCTACGCCTTTGCCCTCATGGCTTCCCCATGTCCCCCCTAGAGGCACAGGAGGCCACTCACTCTTGGAGGGCATAGCTGGACCAGGAGCATGAGCTGTGGCCCAGACTCAGGGAACCTCTGTGAGTCAGCTGGCAAAGGCTCCCGGGGAGCCTGTCTCTGAATCTGGTCCTAGCCCGTTCACTTGGAAAAAACAGGAGACTTCTCCCAAGGTCAAGGAATTCAGATTTTGGTTTTGGTTTCCAACTTTTTGTAATCCTCAACCTGGGATTTACAGTGCATGTCTCAATTATGTTTCATTCATTGCTTCACAAAGGGAAGGACAAGCACTGGTTCATCTCTTTACACCTATACATTCCTAGCACAGAGTGAGTACTCACAAAAAACATACGGAATACATAGAGGACACTTTATCTGTTGACCCCATTTCCAAATTTTCAGTGTTGAGCCATCTTCTGATTTCTAAACTTCTTTAAATCCCTCTAATTTTAGGTCATACTACAGTAGAAATTTAATTGTAGCTGATAATTATTGAGCACTTACTATGTGGTTGGCACTGCATAAAATGCTTTAGAAAAATTCTTACATCAAATATGTGGAGTAGGTACTAATACTATCCTAACATTAAAGGGGGGGGGGAAATAAAGTTTAGTGTAATTAATTAATTTATTCAAGGTCGCCAAATCATTCAGTGGTAGAAACATGAATCAAGACCAGGCAGTCTGACTGTAAATAAATTCTGAGCCACTCTCTTGCAGAGGACCTCCTGATATTCATCTCCTGAATGGTTGGCAACAGGCCTGTTCATAGTAGACACTCAATAAACTTTGACTAAATGAACAAATGAGTGGTTGTGTTCAAATTTCTACTCACATCATATAGGCCTAGGGATGTGTTACCCTTTATTCTTTTTATTTATTTATTTATTTATTTATTTACTTATTTATTTGAGAAGGAGTCTTCTTCTGTTGCCCAGTCTGGAGTGCAGTTGTTGGCTCACTGCAACTTCTGTCTCCCAGGTTTAAGTGATTCCCCTGCCTCAGCCTCCTGAGTAGCTGGGACTACAGGCGTGGGCCACCATGCCTGGCTAATTTTGTATTTTTAGTAGAGAGGGGGTTTCCCCATGTTGGCCAGGCTGGTCTCGAACTCCTGACCTCAGGTGATCCACCCGCCTCGGCCTCCCAAAGTGCTGGGAACACAGGCGCGAGCCACCGTGCCTGGCCTATTCTTTTAAGTTTGGATATCTTGTGCATTTGGTTTGTCCAATTCATCCTTTTGGCATATTCTTATGCAGTAGATATTAATAATCAAGAATATCCTATTGCTCTAGGATCACAGAGAAGAAAAGAAACAATTTAGGGTTGAAATTTAGCATTTACTATTAAAAATGCTGGGAATACTTATTTATGTTTTATCGTAGGAGTCCATGGCGATTGCCTTCTCACAGAAGTGTGCCAAATGACTGAAACTGTGATTCCAGAAGGCCAGGATGGTACTGGTGCTACACAGGAAGTCATGTCAGGGTGTTGATCTTGAAAACTCTGGCAAGAGGGTGGAGACAACTGTAGGCAATAACTACTGGGAATGAAAGGGATGGGAATTTGTGTGTTGTAGTCAGTTTCCTTGCCGCCTGAGATTGGCACCTGCAGCATCTCTGGCACGTGGACCAGGGATTGCCAACTGCCGACCTGTAGGACTGGTGTTTACTGTTGGCTGTGAGTGTAGAGTACCATTGTTAAATACAGGTTCTTGAGAATAGACAAAAAGGAAAGACATTTGGAATGCTGTCTCACTGGACTTCACAGCTCTCATGTTTTCGCAGCCAGCAGAGAAGTGTCTTACATCCCTTGCTTTCTTCATAAATTTTAAATAGCATTGGCTCATTTTTATCTGTGTTTTTCCAAGCTGTGTTTCTCTGTTTTTAATTTTTGAAATCATGTTGTGCCAAAAGAAGAAGTGAATCCTTGAACACGGTATGATTTGGTCAACAGAATACTGGCTCAGCATGAGAATGTCTGGGCTCTCACGACAATTCCCTCACTTACACACTGTGTGACCTTAGAAAAGTTGCTTAACTCCTCTGGACTTCCATTTCCACACATATAAAATAAAGAATTGAACTAGAAAAACTTTAAGGTCGCCTCTTGTTTTCTAATTCCCTGTCTTTATTAGTTTCTTCACATTTCATATTAATTTGGATTTTCACTTTTGTCAAAGGAGTATAAAATAAATTCCATACAGAGAAAATGAAATGGACTTCTGAGGCTAACTGAATCTCTCTGACCTTAAATACAGTAGAATCCCAAAAATACGTACTGGCCAGGCACGATGGCTCATGCCTGTAATCCTAGCACTTTGGGAGGCCGAGGCAGGAGGATCACTTGAGGCCAGGAGTTTGAGACCAGCCTGGCGAATATGATGAACCTTTTCTCTACTAAAAATACAAAAACCAGCCAGGCATGGTGGCATGCGCCTGTAATTCCAGCTACTTGGGAGGCTGGGGCACAAGAATCGCTTGATCCTGGAAGGCAGAGGTTGCAGTGAGCCAGGATCATGCCACTGCACTCCAGCCTGGGTGACAGAGGGAGACTCTGTTTCAGAAAAGGAAAAAAAATAGTACATACTGAAGTAATTAATTAGTTGACTATTTTAGTGCTCTGGGAAATAGAAATTTCATAAGACTGGCTAAAAGGTAACACGAAATGCCCACCTTAAGGAAAGAATATTACTAGGAATAACTTTGATTGGGAATGGTTCTAGGAACTAGACTAAAACATAAATATCTAGTTTTGTACCCATATTACCCACATTGTAGATATACTTTTAAGAGCTAGTATTTGCTGAGAGCTTATGAAATGTCAGGCATTGTGCTAAGGTACATGCATCATTATCATGTCTCAACTTCATAACAATTCTAGTACTTTTATTATTATTATTACAAAAGAAGAGATAGAGGTTCAGAGATAGTAAGAAACTTTTCTATGGTCACACAGCAAGTATCTGACATAACTTGGACTCTAATCCAGGTGAGCCTGACTCCATAACCACTGGGTCATATGGCCTCCCTCTATCCTGGACTTACAGAATCTTTTTCTGTGAACAGTTAAGTAAGGATCAAGAAAATCAGCCTTGAGATCTATTGTACAACTTGGTGATGATAGCTAATAACAATAGATTGTATTGTGAAAAATGTTGACAGAGTAGATTTTAAGTGTTCTCACCATAAAAATGACAAGGGTGTTAGATAATTCATATGGTAATTTGCCCAATTTAGTCATTCCACAATGTACATACATTTCAAAATATCATTTTCTACATGGTAAATCTATACAATTTTGTCAATTAAAAAATAAAACACTTATTTTACTTAATTTTATTTATTTATTTATTTATTTTTGAGATGGAGTTTTGCTCTTGTCGCCCAGGCTGGAGTGCAATGGCACAATCTCAGCTCACTGCAACATCCACCTCCCGATTCAAGGGCTTCTCCTGCCTCAGGCTCCTGAGTAGCTGGAATTACAGGCGGCCACCACCATGCCTGCCTACTTTTTTGCATTTTTAATAGAGACAGGGTTTCACCATGTTGTCCAGGCTGGTGTTGAATGCCTGACCTCAGGTGATCCACCCGCCTCAGCCTCCCAAAGTGCTGGGATTATAGGCATGAGCCACTGCAGCCGGCAGAAAAAAATAAAACGTTTAAAAAGTCCACCATCTTTACCACACACAAAGAAAAGAAAATCAGCTTTAAGAAAATGATTAAAATATAGCTAACGTAGTCCCCAATATATATAACAAGCAAAATAGTAATACACAAACCAGTTTTTTATTGGAAAAAAACACATAGATACAAGTAGAGACAGATAAACTATTTACAGTAGAACAAGTGACAGAGAATAATAAATGTAATGAAAGATGTATAGTTCCTCTAGTAAGTAATAAATTTTAAAGCACAAGATACCATTTTTCACCCATTAGATGGACAAAAATTAAAAGATGGATACTTTCTAGCATCGCTAAGCATGTAGGCAAGTGGATACTTCCCCACAGTCTTAATAGATTTCGGGGAAATTTGGTCATGTCTCTTCAAAAACTAAATTGTTAGTTTTGTTTTGATTTTTCAGAGACAGGGTTTCACTCTGTTGCCCAGGCTGGAGTACAGTGATGCAATCACAGCTCACTGCAGCCTCGGACTCCTGAGCTGAAAACAGCCTCCGACCTCAGCCTCCAGAGTAGCTGGAACTACAGGTGCAAGCCACCATGCCTGGCTAATTTTGTTGTTGTTGGTTGGTAGAGATGGGGTCTATATTGCTTAGGCTGGTATTGAATTCCTGGGCTCAAGTGATCCTCCCTCCTCAGTCTCCCAAAGTGCTGGGATTACAGGCATGAGCCACTGTGCCCGGCCTCAAAAAATAAAATGTGCATACCTTTTGATGCAGCAATTTCAATTCTAAGAACATATCCTACAGAAATATTCCCATATGCATAAATATATACATGTACATATATTTTAAGCAGAAGCAATACTTGTAAATTGATAAATAACCTAATATCAATAGTGAGGTTATTAAATAAAACATTGCAAATATATACAATGAAATATTATGCAACTCTTAATATAAATAAGTTTTACTAGTATATTAACATCTAATTAGATATTAATGTACAGTTAACATATAAACTAATATTACCATAAGCAAAATTTTCACAAAATGTGAAGTGAGGAAACAAAGTATATTGATACTGTGCTTTCTCATTCACTTAAAAACCTATAGATATGTGTATGTGTGAGAATATATATAGAGACATATACTAAAGCATGGGAAAATGTTTAAAATAATACACATTAAAGACTTAAAGAAGAGACCTCTCAAAATGTAGACTGAACCATGGGAAAGAATATTGCATTATTTGAAAATTTTACAGTAAACCAATGTTCATTCCTTGTTCAGAGGAGGTTTTCCTGACCAGCAGACATCACGCCATCAATTGGTGATTCAGGGACCCAGGGTCCTTACACCTCATGGATCTGCCCTCATTTCCACATGGTTCCCATTATTGTCATGTGTGTTGGAGGGAGACAAAGCATGAAAGTTTCAGTGACCTGGCCCAAAAGTGGACTCTTTATTTCTGCTCACATCCCATTGGCTAAAATTTGGTCACCATGGCAATAAAAAATGCAAGTGATTCTGAGAAATGTGGTCTGTATACCCAGGCATAAGAGGAACAATTCTGATAAACATCTAGCAGCCTGTGCCACAGGGAATCAGAGGTTCTGAGTTTCTAGCTCTCTGCCTCTTCAGGACAATAGTAAAACTCAAAAGAAGTAGAGGGACCAAGAGACTTGGGACTCCTCCACAGCTCTCCATCATCAGCACCTCCATAGAATTTTTTTTCAATTTTATCTGAATATTTCAATTTTACCTGAATTTTTTTCAATTTTATCAGACAGTAGATTTTTTTTCAATTTTATCTGAAATACAATCCAAATAGAGCTTCAAGACAAATCCCCTAGCCCCCATTTCAGTACAAACATTCTGAAACTGCTACTGCCCTGATTACCTTCTGAGGGACCCAGACAAAGTCAACCCTGAACCATCAAGTCTCAAGATGTTGGGAAATCCTATAAACCTGGATTCAGGTGCGCCATGATCAGCCTTATCCTAATTTTCCTTCCCTGTCTGTAAAATGGTGATAAGACACCACCCCATTTATTTCAAGGAAATGTGAGCTTCACAAAAGGTAATATACACAGCACTTTGTAAGCTGAAAAGAAGTACTAAAAGTTATTCTTAATCATGAAGCATTGAGATCCATCTATTCTCTTCTCTCACCTTTGTTTTCTCCTTCCTTACTTTCTCTATGTATTATTTACCTGATCCCTTATAAAAGAGGTAAAGGATATACACCTACTATGTACCCACAAATATTAAAAGTGTTTTAAAAAATTTAATGTGGTATCTTAAACTAAAACCCACTACAATTTAGTCCCAGGGAAGGCAGTTCTAGGAAAGAGCCAAACAAGGACATATGAACAAAAGGTAATACTGGGCAATAGGACTGGATTTGAGGTAACCAAATCAGACAGGTGTATGATCCTTTCTTCTCAAAAAGTGGGTTGTGATAGGAGATCAGCCATTCCATGCTTTAAGGGGGTAGAGAGAATAAACAGGCTGAATTTCCAGCTATCCCAAATGTGTTTCCCATGGTGTTTGCATTGAACTGGAAGAGAAGAAAGGAAGTGATGACTAAGGTGGATGAAAGGCCAGGTGCAGTGGCTCATGCCTGCAATCCCAGCACTTCGGGAGGCCAAGGCGGGTGGATCACTTGAGGGCAGGACTTCGAGACCAGCCTTGCCAACATGGTGAAACCCCATCTCTACTAAAAATACAAAAATTAGCCGGGCGTCATGGCGCATGCCTGTAAAACCAGCTACTCGGGAGGCTGAGGCAGAATTATCACTTGAACCCGGGAGGCAGAGGTTGCAGTGAGCCGAGATTGCACCATTGCACTCCAGCCTGGGTGGCAGAGGGAGATTCCGTCTCAAAAATAAATAAATAAATAAAATCAGGTAAATGAAGGGTTAAAATACTAAGTAATGAACTCTTCTGGCATGCAGAAGACATCTAGCACTCCATGCCTGCGTGGCTCAACCCTTCCCCATCAGATACAGCAGAACAAAATGTTAGCGTGTGGGCAATGAAAGTCAGTTAGCAGGCTGTAGCAATGCCACTGATGGAATACTATGACCTCAGAAGCTATCTGCCTTTTTTTGAAGCCAACAACTATCCAGTAGGATTTTAGAGGCACTCAAAGCCTTACAATTATCTCTCCCTCCTGCCTTCACATATTCAGAATGTCTTTAGCAAGACAATCTTGTTTCACAATCACAGACAAACTTCCCACGCCAATGTATATGTTCATATAGATAGGTTGTGACTAGCAGGTAATAAGTGTCCTGTTTTGATAAGACTTCGAGTCCTAGATACCTGAAGAGGGTGTGCAGGAAGGGAGGCTAGGGCTCCCCCAACAATTTCATCTATTTTAAACCTTGTCACTTCTGAAACCTGTAATCCCACCAGATTTTTAGCTGTCATTTAAGTCTCTGAAACCTGCCAGGAGCTTTTCTTAATGCAAAAAACAAACAAAACAAATGTCCACTAAGTTCCACCAATACAGGACTGATTAAGTAAAGACCAGTATCTTCATACAATGGAATACCATAAAATTATCAACCAACAGTAAACAATATGGATGGTCTCTAGATCTTACATTGAAAAATCTCCAAGACCCATTCAGAAAAGCAAGAAAAAAGGAAGGGGGTGGATAAACTCTATCTAGATGTGCTTACATATGCATAAAGTCATTCTAGAGGAATACAGAAGAAACTAGGAAGAGAGAGGTTGAAAACAGGGAAGACGGTGACAAGCAGCGGCATATCTAGGCCTGAAGCTTATACAATTTGGGGCAGCTTCTTTAAGAAACAGAATGTGAATGTATGAATACAAAATTAGTTCAGAGCTTTGGAAGGGACTCTTGGAAGGGGTTCTAAGCTTAAGCTTTGCTAGCTTCATGGTAAATCCACTACTGGGGACAAGTAGGAAAGGGAGAATACAAAAAAAATATTTTTGAAAGCTGATTGAAATCTGAGTCATTTATATCTATTCATAAAACTTAATTTTAAAAAAATCAATGTATTTGCCAAAATAGCTCTGGAGAAAGATAACTGACTAGGTGACCAGGCCTCATGAAAAATTTGAGTTCCTATAACCAAATTCATAAAAGGAACACTGCAAAAATGACAACAGTAACCACTGAAATATAATATTTCACCTATTACATTAGCAAAGTCAAAAAGTTTTAAAGGCTGGGTGTGGTGGCTCATGCCTGTAATATCAGCACTTTGGGAGGCTGAGGTGGGAGGATCACTTGAGCCCAGGAGTTCAAGACTACCTTGGGCAACATAGGGAGACTCTGTCTACAAAAAGTAAAAAATCAGCCATGCATAGTGGTGCATTCCTGTGGGAGGCTGAGGTGGCAGGATTACTTGAGCCTGGGAAGTCGAAGCTGCAGTGAGCTGTAATCACGCCATTGCACTCCAGCCTGGGCAACAGAGTGAGACCCTGTCTCAGAAAAAAAAAAGTTTTAAAAACATACAGTTAGTGAGGCATGGAGTGTCATACATTGCTGTAATTTGGTATAAATGACCTGCATGGAGAAAAGTTTGCCAAAGTCTCCCACAATTACAAATGCACCATTTGACACAGCAATTCTACTTCCAGGAATATAGCCCACAGGTAGACTAGCATGTGTGCTATGCAACAGATGTAAAGGTTATTCACTGCAGCATTGTTTGTACTGCCAAACTACTGGGAAAAACCTCAGCAGGAGACTACACCCATTCAATAAAATCTTGTACAGCTGAAAAATAAATAAGGAAACTATGTGCTAATATAGAACAATCTTCAACCTATATTTTTAAATGAAAAATGCAAGTTTTGAAATATTTTGTGGACTATCATTGATGTAATATATTTCCTGTAAGTGCAAAATATTTTTGGAAGCATTTCACAAACAACTTGTAATATTGGTGCCTTGAGAGAAGATAATTGGATAGCTGGGAAACATGTGGAGGCAGACATTTACTTCTGTGCTTTTAGCTTTTTTGAAGGATGTCAATGTGTAATTTTTTCAAAATATGTCTTGAAGATAAACATAGATCTTTAAAATTTGCAAAATTCACACCAGCCTTAAATTCTAATCAAGCCTGAGACTGTTCAGAGGGAAGCCTGGTGAAGCCCCAAAGCTTTACATCAATTCCACGTTTGATGCAGATCAAACTAGGGATAAGAAAGGTTGAGAACATTGGGCATTTTTTCCCCTCCACTGGAGGGTATACTACTTACATTAAAAAGACTCATTATTTATTAAATGATTCAATGATTTCGTGATTCTAAATAAAACCTTTTCCAGGGACTTTTTTTTTTTTTTGAGATGGGGTCTCACTCCGTCACCCAGGCTGGAGTGTAGTGGTGCGATTACAGTTCATTACAACCTCGAACTCCTGGGCTCAAGTGATCCTCCTGCCTCAGCCTCTGTTCCAGTTCTTCTGTGGGCTCCCAATCCAATGCTTTAGATTCTCAATAATGAAGGGACCTCCTTTTCCCAAGCCCTTTATCAATGAACTCTATTAAGAAGAGAAGTGTCTGATTCACCAGAGGAGACAGAAAAGAACATTGGTACCCAGTGAGTGTTCCTTTATTTAGAAGGCAAGATCCCTCGGGACATGATTAAAATCCAAACCTGAGGACACACATTCTAAAACAAGTGAGATGGGAAGAATATTGGATCCTAAGTACGGTAATTATTCTAAAAAGAAGAAAGTTGCCAGTGCCAGCCTGGGCAGCATAGAGAGACCCCATCTCTACAAAAAATTAGCTGGGTATAGTGGCACACTATGCTACTCGGGAGACTGATGCAGGAGAATTGCTTGAGCCTGGGACTTCGAGACTGTATTGAGCTATGATCACACCACTGCACTCCAGCCTGGGGGACAGAGTAAGACCCTACCTCGAAAGCAAAACAGAAAGAAAGCTGCAGCTGGTGGAGAATGCTAACTCCACCCTCATACAATTAGAATATATGAGAAGTCTTTTGCTACTAATAGATTGTGCATTCCAGGAGTGATTTAGAGCTATGAAGTCATATCAAGATTTACTTTTTTTTTTAAGATGACTAAAATTTTCAGAGCAAGCTTGTGATCCAATGCATTTATTTCCACAAGATGGTGCTATAGCTTCTGCTAAGTACAAAACTCACATTTCCTTTAGGAACTAGAAATACAAAATATGTTTCTAATGGAGAACCAAATGTGCATACGCTCTGGTGAGTCTGTCAAAGAAACACATTGTGCAAAAACGTCCCGGTGGAGGTGGAGGTTGATTTAGGCCTAAAGGGTGAAGATTGTTCCAGGTAATAATACTTTCCGCCACCTCCACACATACCTGAGTTGATGTCTCAAGGCGTCATGCAGCCTTCAGCCTCCTCTTTGTCCAAAATACTGCTCTTCCTACTATCAGGAGTGGGTGTGTGTGTGTGTGTGTGTGTGTGTGTGTCAGACATGGGATTGAGGAGTGGCCCAGAGCTCCCACCACCATGGAAATGCAGCTCCCATGGCCACCCACACTTCCACCCAGGGGCAGCTCAAGGCTCACCCCTTCAATAGAGCCTTTCCTTGCCACTCTGTCCTACATGAATCACACCTGCCTAGGGGTACAAATAATAATGCAACAGAATGTTTTAGAATACCATTTTTCCATTTCCATCTAAGTGTGCCAAGTGTTGGCGGGGGGGTGTGGTGGGCAGAGTCCATTTTATAGCCCACAGCAATGAGGATCCTACCTTGAAATTATGCACAGTGATGATATCACAAATGCTGGCAATCTCAAGCAAGTATTCAGCCACCTTGGTTGGCAGCCTGGGTGACTGGGAGGATGCTGGCCCCGGTTGGCCACTACTTGGACCTAGAAATATGTTAAGTCATCACCTCTTTGGAGTTGTTTGATCATCTCTACCAGGACAGGATTAAACTGTTCTGATTTTTTTTAATATCTTGTTTTAATGACTTTAACATCTTCAGTATCCCTCTCCTGACAGAGTCATAGAGGTGGGAATATTTGCATCACAAGGGAAATAGAAGGATGTCTCTGCTGAAGTGAATGGCACCTCCCTTCCTATTCATCTTTATTCTTTAAAAAAATTTTTTCTGTCCAGGCGTGATGGCTCATACCTGTAATCCCAGCACTTTGGGAGGCCAAGGTGGGTGGAACATTTGAGATCAGGAGTTTGCGATCAGCCTGGCCAACATGGTGAAACCCCACCTCTACTAAAAACACAAAAATTAGCCGGGAGTGGTGGTGGGCATCTATAGTCCCAGCTACTCGGGAGGCTGCGACAGGAGAATCGCTTGAACCTGGGAGGTGGAGGTTGCAGTGTGCTGAGATCACACCACTGCACTCCAGCCTGGGTGACAGAGCGAGACTCTGTCTCAAAAAGAAAAAAAAAATTTTAAATAGAGATAGGGTCCCACTATGTTTCCCAAGCTGGTCTTGAACTCCCGGGCTCAAGCAGTCCTTCCGCCTCCACCTCCCAAAGTGCTGAGATTACAGGCGTGAGCCACTACACCGGTCTCATCTTTATTCTTGTCTCCATTTTTCTCTATTTTATTCTGTGCCTCTGTGCCTTGGCAGTCAAAAATGTGACATAGCTGTACAGTCAGCCCTCCTTATCCACAGGCTCCACATCGTAGCTTCAACCAACAATGGATCAAAAAATTCAGGAAAGAAAAATGGATGGTTGTGTCTGTACTGAAAATGTACAGACTTTTTTTCTTGTTATCGTTCCCTAAACAACACAGTATAACGACTATTTTCATAGGATTTACATTGTACTAGCTATTAATCTAGAGATGTCTTAAAGTGTACAGGAGGATGTGCATAGGTTATAGGCAAAGACTAAGCCATTTTATGTCAGAGACTTGAGCATCTGGGGATTTTGGTATCTGCAGGGGGTGGGAAGGGTCCTTGGAACCAATCCCCTAGGATGACTGGACATGGTGGATCACTCCTGCTCTCTTTTGCTACCATATCCTCTCCACTGCCACAGAGGTAAGGGCAGGGTAAGTGGAAGCCTAGGGCCACAGAGACAACAGGGTACTCTGGGCTCACCATCAAGAGTAGAGAAGGAAACCTGTTGTGCTGCTCTAGGAGTAGAGGATGCCTTTTGGAAGATAAGTGGGATAACATGGATTAGGATGGAAAAGAATACTCATACCTAAGAACAATCACTGACTGGGGACTTTGACAGTGGATGGAACACCTCAAGAAATAGGCATCAAGGACGTGAGACGAGGGATGAGGCCGAAGACTTTCTATCAGCAAAAAGGAAGGACAGAGTTAGGCTGAACTAAAGACATTTCTGTGTTCAAAATAAACAGCATGCTGTTATTGGGTTTGTCTTATATTATTATGTCTATCAGAAGAAGAGTACACAAAGATACAACTTACTTATACATACTTATAACTTACACAACTTACTTATTATGTCTATCAGAATACACAAAGATACAATTTATTCTTTGAATAGCAGCAGATTTTAGTCTAAAACAGAAAAGATACAAAAAAAAGTAATGTGTGTTTTCTAGCTTCTCCCAAATAGAAAAAAAATAAAATATATATGTATAAAATGATAACAAAAATATTTGGCTTTAAGCCCTCATCACAGGAATTCTTGGAACCCTCTCTCTTCCGACAGATGTAAGAGGCAGTATAAACATCTTTGTATGTGTCAGTATGTATTTGTGTGTGTTGGGTTCTCATCTGATACCAAAAAGACTACCATATTACTCATAAATATATAAACAGAGACATATACATTTAATAAATTCAAGATAGATTTTAAAATAGGGCAATAGAAAAATAAGAATAGAAGATATAAAAGTTCACAAAATATACTTCACTATAAAATGCATCTTTGAAAGGTAGGTTACAATTTTGCTATTCAATTCTATTCTCCAATTCAGAAGGGAAATGTGAGCGGTATAAATTTTCCTCAGACTAGCCTTGCTTTCTCAGTTTCTTCTAGAACTTATGCTAATACAACTTGTTGTTCAGATGCAATTTTCATAACCTTCTAATTTGAGAAAATAGAAGCACCATCTTCAAGGATAAAAGTCAGTTGAAATTCAGTTCCCCACTCAAATTTACTTCCCACCAATAATTACCTAATGTCCTACAATTCACTGGGTGTGGGAACTTCTACTCTCTCCCATCTCAGGGTTAGTTTGATGCCTACTTGCAGTTTTCTTTCAGAGGTTAAAGGGTAATGACTGCCTCCCTTGATTGAATAATCTTAACTTGTATGTTCTGGGGACTCATTTGTTTCTTATATAAAACCAAACCCCTGACAGATTACCTTGATATACAGTGAGCAGTGGAATTAGTGAGTCCCCAACTTTTGCAATGTATAGCACCCTCCAAATGCCAAAAAAAATTAGAGATGAAATAGAAAGGAGAACAAAGAAGAGGGTGATCGTATTAGTCCATTTTCACGCTGCTGATAAAGACATACCCAAAACTGAGGAGAAAAAGAGGTTTCATTGGACTTACAGTTGCACATGGCTGGGGAGGCCTCAGAATCACAGTGGGAGGCAAAAGGTACTTCTTATATGGCAGCGGCAAGAGACAATGAGAGAGAAACAAAAGCAGAAACTCCTGATAAACCCATCAGATCTCCTGAGACTTATTCACTATCACAAAAATAGCATGGGAAAGACCGGCCCCCATGATTCAATTACCTCCCCCTGGGTCCCTCCCACAACACCTGGGAATTCTGGGAGATAACAATTCAAGTTGAGATTTGGGTGGGGGCACAGCCAAACCATATCATTCTGCCCCTGGCCCCTCCAAATCTCATGTTCTCACATTTCAAAACCAATCATGCCTTCCAAACAGTCCCCCAAAGTCTTAACTCATCTCAGCATTAACCCAAAAGTCCGTAGTCCAAAGTCTCATCTGAAACAAGGCAAGTCCCTTCTACCCATGATCCTGTAAAATCAAAAGCAAGCTAGTTACTTCCTACATACAATGGGGATACAGGTAATGGGTAAATACAGCCATTCCAAATGGGAGAAAGTGCCCACAACAAAGGCGTTACAAGCCCCATGCAAGTCCAAAATCCAGCGAGGCAGTCAAATTATAACGTTCCAAAATGATCTCCTCTGACTCCATGTCTCACATCCAGGTCACAATGATGCAAGAGGTAGGTTCCCTTAGTCTTGGGCAGCTCTGCCCCTGTGGCTTCACAGGGTATAGTCCCCACTCCTGGCTGCTTTCACGGGCTGGCGTTTAGGGTCTGTGGCTTTTCCAGGTGCACGGTACAAGCTGTCGGTGGATCTACCATTCTGGGGTCTGAAGGACGGTGGCCTTCTTTGCACAGCTCCACTAGGTGGTGCCCCAGTAGGGATTCTGTGTGGGGGCTCCAACCCCACATTTCCCTTCACACTGCCCTAGCAGAGGTTCTCCATGAAGGCTCTGCCCCTGGAGCAAACTTTTGCCTGAGCATCCAGGTGATTCCATACATCTTCTGAAATCTAGATGGAGGTTCCCAAACCTCAATTCTTGACTTCCATGCACCTGCAGGCTCAACACCACATGGAAGCTGCCAAGGTTTGGGGCTTGCACCCTCTGAAACCACGGGCAGAGCTGTACCTCGGCCCTTTTAGCAATGGCTGGAGCAGCTGGGATGCAGGGCACCAAGTCCCTAGGCTGCACACAGCATGGGGACCCTGGGCCTGGCCCACAAAACCATTTTTTCCTCCTAGTCTTCAGGGTCTGTGATGGGAGGGGCTGCCATGAAGACCTGTGACATGCCCTGGAGACATTTTCCCCATTGTCTTGGAGATTAACATTCAGCTCCCTGTAACTTATGCAAATTTCTGCAGCCAGCTTGAATTTCTCCTCAAAAAACAGGTTTCTCTCTTCTGCTGCATCAACTGGCTGCAAATTTTCCAAATTTTTATGCTGTTTCCCTTTTAAAATGAAATGCTTTTAACAGCACCCAAATCACCTCTTGAATGCTTTGCTGCTTAGAAATTTCTTCAGCCAGATACCCTAAATCACCTCTCTCAAGATCAAAGTTCCACAAATCTCTATGGTAGGGGCAAAATGCCACCAGTCTCTTTGCTAAAACATAACAACAGTCATCTTTGTTCCAGTTCCCTACAAGTTCCTCATCTCCATCTGAGACCACCTCAGCCTGGACCTTATTGTCCATAGCAGTATCAGCATTTTTGTCAAAGCCATTCAACAAGTCTTTAGGAAGTTCCAAACTTTCCCACATTTTCTTGTCTTCTTCTGAGCCCTCCAAACTGTTTCAACCTCTGCCTGTTACCCAGTTCCAAAGTCGCTTCCACATTTTCAGGTATCTTTTCAGCAGCGCCCCACTCCACTGGTACCAATTTACTGTATTAGTCAGTTTTCATACTGCTGATAAAGACATATCCAAGACTGGGAAGAAAAAGAGGTTTAACTGGACTTACAGTTGCACATGGCTGGGGAGGCCTCAGAATCATGGTGGGAGGCAAAAGGCACTTCTTACATGGCAGTGGCAAGAGAAAACGAGAGAGAAGTAAAGGTGCAAACCCCTGATAAACCCATCAGATCTCGTGAGACTTAATTCACTATCATGAGAATAGCATGGGAATTCATCATTGAATCAATCATTGAAAAGAATTAGCAGAGGACTGATAAATAAGCATAGAAAGATAGGAAGAGCATTTCAGATTCAATTACCTCCCCGTGGGTCCCTCCCATAACATGTGGGAATTCTGGGAGACACAATTCAAGTTGAGATTTGGGTGGGGACATAGCCAAACCATATCAAGGATAGTCATTTTTTCTCTGCTGTCATATTTATGGCAAGGTTCATTGTTCACTCATCTGGTCTCCATAGTTAAAACATTTCTTTGAAAATACTTTAACCAGATTCATAATATTTTATAAGATATGTAATAAACTGAATGTTCGTGTTCTTTCCTCCACCCTCCCATTCACATAGGAAGCTCTAACCTCAATGCAATGGTATTGGGAGGTGGGGCATTTGGAAAATAATTGTGCTTAGATGAGGTCAGGAGGGTAGATCCCCCTTGATGGGATTAGTGCCCTTATAACTAGAGGAAGAGACACCAGACCTTTCTCTCTGCAGAATATGAGAAGGCAGCCATCTGCAAGCCAGGAAGAGAGCCCCCATCATGAGTCAAATCTATTGGCATCTTGATCTTGGACTTACTAGCCTCCAGAACTGTGAGAAATAAGCGTCTGTTGTTTGAGCCAACCAGCCTATGGGATTTGGTTACAGCAACCCAAGATGACTAATATAACATCTTCACAATTCAGCAAATACATATATAAATTTATTTTACAGATGAATAGAAAGATTAGTTGCTTTTCTAGAACCACATGACCAGTATAGGATCAAAATCTCATTCTCTTCATGGTGAACTTACTCAATTATTTGTTCAACTTAATCAATTATTTGCTAACTGATCACCTACTGCATACTAGAAGCTATGCTCAGCTTTCAGTCACAAAGATAGAGAATGTATGGTCCCAAATCTTAAGAAGCTTGCAATGGAAAATAAGCAGACAAGAAAATAAAAATAAATTAGTTACAATATCACAGCATTAAAAATGTACTAACAGAAGGCTATACTGAATACGTTAAGGTGCCACAGAATGAAAGATAACCATTCTACTTGGAGAAGTCAGGAAAAGTTTCAGAGATAAGGTAACATGAATTCATCATTGAAAAGAATTAATAGAGGTTTGATAAATAGACAGAGAAAGGTAGGAAGAGCATTTTAGACACAGAGAATACTGTCTAGGAAGATCCAGGAATAAAAAAAGAACTGGCATATAATGGTTTGACAAACAATCAGGTATGGCTTGAGCACAAAGCATGTATGGTAGAGACAGAAAAAGATAGTGACCAAGGGGAAGCCTGGGAATGAAGGCAGGAGTCAGACTGTGAAAGGCCTTTATATTGCACTCAGTACAATTTTTGTAAAATAAATGAACTGTCATTTTAAAAGCCTAACTTTCCTTGTGTGTTGCCTTTGCCTTTGTCTAACATTACCAAGAGCACCTATACCTGTGTCCAATCTTGCTCCAGTCCTAAGGGTAGCTGGGTCTTGGTATTCAAATTCTCTTTTCCGCTTTTAGGGATCCAAGCTCAGCTCATCAGCAGTTAAGAGGTCTAAGTGCTTGCTTCATTTCTGAGGAGAAGAAAGTACCAGGAAGACAACCAATCCTATGGTACTTCATAACTATGGCTTGGAGACCCAAGTCAAGCTTTTTAGTCTGACCACCACTCTGGCAGTGAAGGCTTCCAAAATGCATGTGTAAATTTGAGCTAAGAGTGGGTGTCCAGAAGAAGCCATAGTAAATAGCAAAAAGCTATGTTCAAAAACATCTATGTGGTCTGAGGAAAACTGGGGAGGGTACCAACTAAGGCTAATTGAGCCACTTTGGGGAATTAATTGATCACACCGAGGAAGATAGCCATGTAAAGGAATTGGCTGCCCCTTCCCTTGGTCCTTGTGGTGGGGTGTCTACTGGAACTGTCGTGGATGTTGCCATGAAGCCTCTATATGGACCCAAATATCATAGCAGCCCATTCTGCTTTATGTATCCTGCTCATTCATTCATTCATTCAACAAACAAACATTCATTGATCACTTACCATGCAATGTTTTAAACACTGGGAATACAGAGACGAAAGATGCAGCCTCTGCTCTTGAGAAACACAGCATAGCGAATAAATTAAAATCAAGAACATTTCTCTAGACAAGGAAAACTCACTAGAAAAACAGAATTCAAAAATAAGATCTAATTCACAATAGCATAAAAATCTATAAAGTATTGATAACCTTATTTAATAAAAAAATAAAGAAAAAGTTTTAAATTAGTCTAAAGAACATATAAGATGAGAAGAATAATTGGGGAGACAGTCTATACTTTTGGGAAGGGTGGTTTATTATCATAAAATCTCAATTCTCCCCCAAATTAACCTCAAGTAAGATTTCAGTTGGGTTTTCTGAGGATCTCTGAAAACCTCTATAATCTACATGGAAAAATAAAGGTCCACAAATAACTAAATAAACGTTGAGAAAGAGGAGAAAAGTAGAAGTAGGGGAGGGAGTGTCCCAACCAAATCCATGGATGTACTACAAAGCCACTGTCATAGAAACAATTTCAAGCAAGAACATTTAAATGGACAAGTAGAACAGAACAGAGGGCAAGCGTCAGAAACAGACTCATCTACTTATAAGAATGTAATACATAATAAAGTTGGTAGCATAAATCAAGAAAAGATGAACATTGGAGTTTAAAAACTGACATAATAGACTGACATAATTAAGTATCTACTCAATATCATTAGACTAAAAAACAGACTCAGGATGGAAAATAAAGCTGTTAAGATAATATAGAAGAATTAATGTGTGGCAAAATTGTTACACATTTCTGTTCAGATTACTAGGAGACAATGTTTTCAATATCTAAAACTTACAGATAACTAACATTGAGATTATACAAGTGACAGGGCCAGATTTGCAACTCAAAAAGATCACCTAAGGGTGCAGCAAACTGTATCTACTCTTTCTCTTCTTTTTCTTTTTCTTTTTGAGATAGGGTCTCATTCTGTCACCCAGGCTGGAGTACAGTGACATGATCCTGGCTCACAGCAGCCTCAACCTCCTTGGCTCAAGCCATCCTTCCACCTAGGCTTTTGCAAGGCAACAAGAAAGTTTTGCAAGGATACAAGAAAGTTTTGCAAGGCAACAGGAAAATGAGAGTAACTCAACAGAAAAGTAGACAAAGGCATGATAGGCAATGTGAATAATCACATGACAACAAATTTACTGAGATCCTCAACCCACTAGTAACCAGAGAAATGAAAATTAAACAGCAGTGTAATACCGCTTTGAAGCTACTCAACTGATCAAAACATGCCCAGTGTTGTTGGGGACATGGGGCTACAAAGACTCTTGCACTGTGATGAACACACAGTCAGTGCAGCCATTCGAGGGAGCAACAGCCAGGATCTGGCTAAATAAGCACACCATCGCTTTCCAACCCCAGAATTCTGATCTTGGATGTTCACATCCCACAGAAATTCTCACACAGGTCCGTAAAGGATGTATACAAGGCTGCCCATTACAGCATCGTTTGTGATACAGGGAAGGTGAAAGGATTTGGGTGGCCACCATTGAAAGTGAGAATAGGTAAAATATGATGAATTCAGACTGTGGAACAAAAGCACTGGTTAGAAGCAAAAGACTACAGATACACAAAGGAAAATGAGTAGATGTTTAAAACTCGTCCTAATTTTAAAAAGTAAAAAGTGTAAAGTCGATAAAAGACAGCATTTATGTAAATTAAAAACACATACAAACAGTGCAGAATTCGTTATAATAAGAAAGGAATAAGTAAACTAAGGCAGGAGCTTGAACAAACCAAAGAAACCAAATGATACCGTGCCATGAAGATTTCAAGGAATTCTATTTTCTGCAACTGTCCTCCCCCAATTTACCAAAATAGGTACACTGCAATAAAACCTACAAAGTGCCTTTATAGAGATTAGCTCTAGTGCTCGCTTCAGCAGCACGTATACCATATAAATTAAAAAATACATACATAAAATACATTAGCTCTAAAGAGTGTGGATGTTTGGAGGAGAGAATAAGAAAAGGCTTCACCAAGAAGGTAACAACAGAGATGGATCTTGGAGGACTTGTAAGAGTTCATAGAAAGTAGGGAAAAGGGGAGTGTAATCTGAGGGCAACTGTAAAAGCAAAGGTTTCTAAATACAAGCAAAAGATAAGAAAGGAGAGAATAGGCTGGGTGCAGTGGCTCATACCTACAATCCCAGCACCTTGGGAGGCTGAGGTGGGAGGATCACTTGAGCCCTGGAGTTTGACAGCAGCCTGTGCAACATAGTGAGACCCCATGTCTACAAAAAAAATTAAAAATGAGCCAGGTGTGGTGGTGCCTGCCTGTAGTCCCAGCTATTGGGGAGACCAAGGTAGAAGGATGGCTTTAGCCCAGGAGGTTGAGGCAGAAGTGAGCCATGATCACATCACTGCACTCCAGCCTGGGTGACAGAATGAGACCCTATCTCAAAAAGAGAAAGAAGGGAAAGAATTGATACAACTTGCTGCACCTTTAAGTGATCTTTTTGAGATGAAAATCTGGCCCTGTCACTCTCCCTTAGATCCTTCAATGGATTACCTTGCCCTCAAAATAAAGATCAAATTCCTTAACATGGTCTACTAGGCCCACGTGATCCCTGGTCTCTGCTCACATCTTCAGTTTCATCTTCTGCTATGGGATTTCCACCTCTGTCCTCCAGATCTGAAATTTTCTAGCTTTCCTTCAATGACACTCCTGCCTCCAAATTACAGATTTCTCAAACCCTCCAGAAGAGGTCATTCTCAGGTTTTATATATATATACTTTCAGAAATCAAAGACAAAATTCTGAGACCTCCCAACCATCTGAAAGGACACCTCCTCTAGGCCAAAGGCATTCCAAAGTTAAGCTGAAAAACTGTTTCAGGCTGTGATGGAAGTGGGGGTCAGACATGCCTCATTATGCCCTCCTCTTTTTTGGAATTCAGGAAGAGCCGACCGGCACTAACATCAACACAGACCTAAGGCCTGATAAGAAACATTTACCATATCTTTCCTGTTCCTCACCCTGATCACGCTTCATTTACTGATGGCAGCTCCACCAGGCCTAATCGCCACACACCAGCAAAGGCAGGCTATGCTATAGTACAAGCCACTAGCCCGCCTTTCAGAACCTCTCATTTCCTTTCCATCATGGAAATCTATCCTCAAGGAAATAATTTCTCAGTGTTCCATCTGCTATTCTACTATTCCTCAGGGATTATTCAGGCCCCCTTCCTTCCCTACACAGCAAGCTCGAGGATTTGCCCCCACCCAGGACTGGCAAATTAGCTTTACTCAACATGTCCGGAGTCAGGAAACTAAAATCTTAATCTCTCCCAATCTAGGTTCCCACGCCGCCCCTAATCCCGCTTGAAGCAGCCCTGAGAAACATCGCCCATTCTCTCTCCATATCACCCCCCAAAAATTTTTGCCACCCCAACACTTCAACACTATTTTGTTTCATTTTTCTTATTAATATAAGAAGGCAGGAATGTCAGGCCTCCGAGCCCAAGCCAAGCCATCACATCCCCTGTGACTTGCAGGTATAGGCCCAGATGGCCTGAAGTAACTGAAGAATCACAAAAGAAGTGAATATGCCCTGCCCCACCTTAACTGATGACATTCCACCACAAAAGAAGTGTAAATGGCCGGTCCTTGCCTTAACTGATGACATTACCTTGTGAAAGTCCTTTTCCTGGCTCATCCTGGCTCAAAAGCACCCCCACTGAGCACCTTGCGACCCCCACTCCTGCCCACTGAGCACCTTGCGACCCCCACTCCTACCCACCAGAGAACAAACCCCCTTTGACTGTAATTTTCCTTTACCTACCCAAATCCTATAAAACGGTCCCACCCTTATCTCCCTTCACTGACTCTCTTTTCGGACTCAGCCCGCCTGCACCCAGGTGAAATAAACAGCCATGTTGCTCACACAAAGCCTGTTTGGTGGTCTCTTCACACGGACGCGCATGAAAATAATACCTACCTCATACATCTGTCATGTAACACTTTAGTGTTCTATATTTGCATAGCTGTATCCTTCCATTAGTTTGTATAGAGCTGACTTAGTATTTTTGGTTGAATAAATGTTGAATGACCTGGCAAAAAAAAAAAAAAAAAAAAGAAACATTTACCATCTATTCTCTCTGAAACCTGCCACTTGGAAGCTTCATCTACATGATAAAACCTTGGTCTCCACAACCCCTTAACATATCCCAGACATTCCTATTGATAATAATTATTTTGACCAGTTACAAATCAGAAAATTTATAAATCTACCTATGACCTGCAAGCCCTCCTACCCCCGCCCTCAAATTGTCCCACCCTTCCAGATTGAACCAATGTAAATCTTACATGTATTGATTGATGTATTATGTCTCCCCAAAAATGTATAAAAGCAAGCTGTACCCTGACCACCTCGGGCACGTCATCGGAACCTCCTGAAACCCTGTCATGGGTATATCCTTAACTCTGGCAAAATAAACTTTCTAAACTTTCTTTGAGACTTATCTCAGGTACTTTTGAGTTCACACTTTTTAGCATCCATCAAAATTATAGTAATTTATTATTAAGTAATCATTTGTTTAATGTTTATGCGGGCATAACCTAGGTCCTTGAGATCAAAGACCATGTGCACAACTATATCCCTAGCCCCTCATTCAACGCTTTGCACAATATGGGTTGAGTATCCCTTATCTGAAATGCTTGGGACCAGAAGTGTTTTGGATTTTGGATTTCTTTGGATTTGGGAATATTTGCAGGTACTTAACCAGTTGAGCGTCCCAAGTCCAAAAATCCCAAATGTCAAATGTTCCAATGAACACTTCCTTTGAGTATCATATTTCACAATTTGGAGCATTTTGGATTTGAGATTTGGGGATTAGGTCTGCTAAACCTATACATGTGTTGAATGACTGCATAAATTAAGGAATGGAGTAGGAGTGCTTTGGTTGGGGTGGGAACCAGTGATTCTGTTTCAGACAGCTACCCGTGATAGTAGCAGCTAAATAAGAGTTGGGGTCAATTATGGAACCACTGGCCCTGTTCTTTCTCTCAATGTTCTACACAATGGGATCCTCAGTGTATCCACTGGGGGAACGAGATAAAAATATTAGAGCTTTCAATGACATTTATTTGTACCTCATTATTTTAAAACATCTGTGTTTGCATATCATACAGAAGTACACATATATAATTCATAAATAAATAAAACATGCATATACTGGGGAAATGCCTGCTCAAAATTTTTTTATTGACAGGAGGTAGAATGAAAGATGTTTAAAAATCACTGCTGTGGGTCAGAGAGTTTCCACTATTATTAGGCATCCAAATCAGCAAGGAGCTATTTTCAAATAGTTCTGTTTGACCCCAAACCTACAGAATTAAAACTCCGTGGGTTTAGGGCAATGGCAAATTCAGAATGCTGATCAGATGATTATGATGGAAGCCTCTGCTAAAGAACCACTGCTTTTCTATCAGGATTCCTAAACCTGGCTTCTCATC
Organism: Homo sapiens; assembly: GCF_000001405.40. NCBI lineage: Eukaryota > Metazoa > Chordata > Mammalia > Primates > Hominidae > Homo > Homo sapiens. Next base: position 144,206,287 of record NC_000007.14, on the reverse strand, counting down.
CTAATCATAATCATCTTAAAAACAAACAACAGTCAGGCCCAGTGGCTCATGCCTGTAACCTCTGCACCCAGGGAAGCCAAGGGAGGAGGATCCCTTGAGGCCAGGGGTTCAAAATCAGTCTGGGAAAATAGAGAGTACTGAGACCCCATCTCTACAAACAAATTAAAAATTAGCTGTACATGGTGGTGTGTACCTGTAGTCCCAGCTACCAGGGAGGCTGAGGTGAGAGGATGGCTTGAGCCCAGGAGTTCAAGGCTGCAGTGAGCTATGATCACGCCACTGCACTCCAGCCTAAGCGACATAGCAAGACTCTGTCTCATAGATAGATAGATAGATAGATAGATAGATAGATAGATTGATTGATAGACAGATGGATTTTAAGGAAATTTTGCTGATTTGCCAGGTTTGGGAGCCACTGTGTCAGAAGTGTTCAAACCACAGTGACTCCATCATAAATAGGGACTTGATAAAACAAAGCTGAGACCTATGGGGCTACATTCCCAGGAGGTTAGGCGTTCTTAGTCACAGGATGAGATAGGGGTCGGCACAAGATACAAGTCACAAGGACCTTGCTGATAAAACAGGATACAGTAAAGACACCAGCCAAAACCCACCAAATCCAAAACAGTGATGAAAGTGACCTCTCTGGTCATCCTTACTGCTCATTATATGCTACTCATAATTCATTAGCATGCGAAAAGACACTCCCACCAGTGCCATGACAACTTAAAAATGCCAGGCAGTGTCTGAACTTTAGACCCTATAGGGTCTAAAGTGGAGAGGAACCCTCAGTTCTGGGAACTGCCTGTACCTTTCTTGGAACACTCATGAGTAATCCACCCATTGTTTAGCATATAATGAAGAAATAACTGTAAGTATACTCAGTCGAACAGCCCATTCTTTTATTCCTTTGCTTTCTTAATAAACTTGCTTTCCCTTTACGGGCTTGCCCCAAATTCGTTCTTGTGCAAGGCCCGTGAACACTCCCTTGGGGTTGGGACCAGAACCTCTTTCTGGTAACAAATACAGTAGAGCCAGAACTCCACTAAATGAACTTTACTGGTTATAGTCTCTTTAAGAACAGGAATTGGGCTGGGCGCGGTGGCTCACGCCTGTAATCCCAGCACTTTGGGAGGCTGAGGCGGGAGGATCATGAGGTCAGGAGATCAAGACTATCCTGGCCAACACGGTGAAACCCTGCCTCTACTAAAAATACAAAAAATTAGCCGGGCGTGGTGGCGGGCGCCTGTAGTCCCAGCTACTCAGGAGGCTGAGGCAGGAGAATGGCATGAACCCGGGAGGTGGAGCTTGCAGTGAGCCTAGATCATGCCACTGCACTCCAGCCTGGGCCACAGAGCGAGACTCCATTTCAAAAGAACAGGAATTGGCTGAGTGCAGTGGCTCACGCCTGTAATCTCGCCAGCACTTTGGGAGGTTGAGGCAGGTGGATCATTTGAGCCCAGGAGTTTGAGACCAGCCTGGGCAACAAAGTGGGACCCCCATCTCTACAAAACAATACAAAAATTAGCCAGGCATGGTGGTGTGCACCTGTAGTCCCAGCTACTCGGGAGGCTGAGGTGGGAGGATTGCTTGAGCCTGGGAGGTGGAGACTGCAGTAAGCCATGATAGCACCACTGCACTCCAGTCTAGGCAACAAAGCGAGACCCTGTATCAAAAAAATAAAAATAAAAAATAAGGAACAGGGATCATTCCCATCCCCATCCCTATCTTCCAAAAATTTTGGATGGGGAAATTTCCAAAACATCCCAAATCCAAACATTTCAAAAGACAAAAAGCAAGACAACCTGAATAACAGCGCTTCTAGGGATTGCTCACTGTAGGGCAGGCAGGCAAGGACCCACTCCCTCTTCATGACTGCAACACCTCACCATAGCTATAACCAGCCTCCAGGAGGACCTGGGCATTCTCAGACATTATGTACCAGACGTTTTGGAAATGTTCAACTGAATGAGATTTGGAAGTATACATATTTTTCTATGATATATGCACTCAAGTTAAAAATGTCTTTGTACAGGAGATTCGAAAAATATGAGCCTCTAGTCTAGAGACTTAGGAAGAGTGATGGTGTAACTGCTGACCTACAAGCATCACACAGAGGCATCATCACTTTGGCATTGGTTTATAAACTCACCGACAAGATAATCTTTTCCTCCTCCAAACTCCCATGGCACCTCTAGCATAAAGTGCACTGCACTTCAACACTGTTGTTCATCTGTCACATCCATTACACTGTGAGCTCCTTGACATCAGGGTAGGCAACCTATTCATCTTTTAGAACCCAGCAGAGCTGGTAAGAGGCTATTCTTTTTTTTTTTTTTTTTTTTTTTGAGATGGAGTCTTGCTTTGTTGCCCAGGCTGGAGTGCAGTGGTGCAATCTCGGCTCATTGCAATCTCCACCTCCTGGGTTCAAGCGATTCTCCTGTCTCAGTCTCCCGAGTAGCTGGGATTACAGGTGCAAGCCACTGAGCCTGGCTAATTTTTGTATTTTTTTTAGTAGAGACAGGGTTTCGCCATGTTGGCCAGGCTGGTCTTGAACTCCTGACCTCAGGTGATCTGCCCACCTCGGCCTCCCGAAGTGCTGGGATTACAGGCGTGAGCCACCACACCCGGCCAGGGCTGTTCTTTTTTTTTAAGGCAATGGCACTCTTTCCATCTCTTCCTCCTGACCATTCCACCAAACATCTCCCACAGATACAAACCATAGAGAATATCAGGTATTTTCAACTTTGCTAATCAACTCTTTAAAATGATAGTCCATTTTAGAACTTGAACAAATATTTACTATACCATTTATCGACCCCAAGTTGGGCTTTCCTCCTCTTAAAGAAGTTCAGTGAACTACAAGAATTTGTGGATTAAAAAAAAAAAAATTTAACCCAAAGACTCCTAGTGACCTTTGCTGGAGCTAACACAGCATCTCTTAATCCAGCTCTAAAGGATGTGAAGAGCTCCAGGCCTGAGGCACCATGCTGTGCAGCAATTTACTTCTTCATTGCACCAGGCTCATCCCTCATTGCCCACAGCATCCAGGGGTAAACTCGGAACAAAAGATTGCTTACACTTTCATAACTTCAAAAATTACATCACACATGCATGTCCAGTGTTAAACTACAACTGATTACATGTACTGTCTAACGAAATTGTTGAATACTTGCTCTGCTTTTCTCCCTGTTGGCCTTACAATCCCTGTTTCTAATTTCCTTCCATCCTCGGGTCATAAAACTTTATACCCAGTGGCCTGGCACAAAAGTTTCTTTTCTTGTTTCCCTAATATCCTTAAAGCAGGCATTGCAGTCCACTGTACTTCTTCCTTCTATACAAGCTGGAACACCCTGAGTCCTAAGCTTTACTGTGCTTAAGAATGACCCGTGGGAGGCTGAGGTGTGTGGTTCACGAGGTCAGGAGTTCAAGACCAGCCTGGCCAGTATGGTGAAACCCCATCTCTACTAAAAATACAAAAACATTAGCCAGGCGTAGTGGCGGGCGCCTGCAACCCCAGCTACTTAGGAGGCTGAGGCAGAGAACTGCCTGAACCTGGGAGGCGGAGGTTGTAGTGAGCCAAGATCATGCCACTGCACTCCAGCCTGGGCAACAGAGTAAGACTCCATCTCAAAAAAAAAGAATGACTCACAAAGCGAATTGGAGACTCCAATGCAGGTGTACCACAAACTACACTTTGATCTATGGTGTGGCAGATGTCACAGCCGGATCACCCGCACATCCACAAACTATACGTTGAGACCCTCCGCACACTTAGTTGTTATATACATTATTAATAATTCACAAGTGAACACAACTGTGAATTATTAAAAATTCACAATTCATTCATTCATTCAGGTCGAGGTGGTCTCTTTCACTTCTTAAACTCCCATCCTTTTCCTACACCCATGACTTAATATCTCTGAGAATAAGTGAGTTTCTAAATGTCTGAGTTAATAGAAACATTCTTTTTACAAGCAAAACAGACCATTTCCTCAGTAACCCTTCCCAGAACCACCCATCTTACCACTCTTACCACTACTGATTAAAAAAAAGAAAAACAGGTAGTGCCGATCAAACCAGGCAAGCTGAAGCCCATGGCTCCTGGACACAAATGATGACAGCTGTGACTAAACTCCTAGGCAAGGCTCTTTGATGTGTCTATCTGGCCAATAGGCCTCTACATCTTGAAAGCAAAGTAGCAACATTGAGAAAAAAAAGGGCCAGGCTGTGAAATGCAAGTTCAAAGCAAGCAGCAAAGTATTAATAGTTGAGCTTCTTTCTGCAAATAAAACACAGAGCTCTAGAGGCAGCCCCTGCAAAATCAAGAGCAGAACTCCTCAAGGAGTCCTCTCACAAACAGAGAAGTACTCAGAGAGGACATCATTTTATTCACCTCCAACAGTCAATTCTTCAAATCTGACTTGATCATTTTATCTTCAAAAAACAGTCAGCACGGCCGGGCGCGGTGGCTCACGCCTGTAATCCCAGCACTTTGGGAGGCCGAGGCGGGCGGATCACGAGGTCAGGAGATCGAGACCATCCCGGCTAAAACGGTGAAACCCCGTCTCTACTAAAAATACAAAAAAATTAGCCGGGCGTAGTGGCGGGCGCCTGTAGTCCCAGCTACTTGGGAGGCTGAGGCAGGAGAATGGCGTGAACCCGGGAGGCGGAGCTTGCAGTGAGCCGAGATCCCGCCACTGCACTCCAGCCTGGGTGACAGAGCGAGACTCCGTCTCAAAAAAAAAAATAAAATAAAAAAATAAAATAAAAAAAAAAAAAAACAGTCAGCACAATACTAAAATCCATTCCCTGTCTTATTTTCCCATTGCCCCTGCATTCGTTCAAGGTGTCTTCTTTTCTTACCTCCATGACTACAATATCCATCTAATTGCTACAACAGCTGATTGCCTTCCTTGCCCCTCCACTTCACTATCCACACCAGTCCATTCTCTCAACTGCCCCCAGAGCTTTTTTTTCTAAATCTAACCTTAGAATCTGATCTCATCATGACCTTGCTTGAAACCCTTCCAAGGAGGCCTATCCCCAGAAGGATGAAGTCCAAACTCAGTAGCAGGAATGGCCTACAAGGCCTTTCATGATTTGGCTGCCCGACTACCCTTCCAACTTCATTCTCTGCCATTTCTTCACCACATCTCATGTTAAACCCACACTATTTGCACATCCCTGAACAGAGGGTGCTCAGGCTTGTATTTTTGCATATTTCACTTCTGCTATTGGTATGCTTTTCCTATATCCTCCTCTATACCAGGTTAACAGAATTTTTTTTTTTTTTTTTTTTGAGACAGATTCTCGCTCTGTCGCCCAGGCTGGAGTGCAGTGGTGCGATCTCGGCTCACTGCAAGCTCTGCCTCCCAGGTTCACGCCATTCTCCTGCCTCAGTCTCCCAAGCCCGGCTAATTTTTTTTGTATTTTTAGTAGAGACGGGGTTTCACCATGTTAGCCAGGATGGTCTCAATCTCCTGGCCTCGTGATCCCCCGCCTCGGCCTCCCAAAATGCTGGGATTAAAGGCATGAGCCACCATGCCGGCCAGTAACAGAATATTTTTAAAAGACAAGTCAACTCAAATCTCACCTTCGCCGGGCACGTTGGCTCACACCTGTAATCCCAGCACTTTGGGAGGCCAAGGTGAGTGAATTGCTTGAGTCAAGGAGTTCGAGACCAGCCTGGGTAACATGACAAAACTCTGTCTTTACAAAAATATACCAAAAATTAGCCAGGTGTGCATGGTGGTACACATCTCTAGTTCCAGCCCCAGGAGGCTGAGGTGGGAGGATCACCTAAACCCAGGAGTTTGAGGCTACAGTGAGCCATGATTGCACCACTACACTCCAGCCTAGGTGACACAGTGAGACCCTATCTCAAAAAGAAAAAAATATATATAATCCACCTTATCCATTCAGGCTTCTCTGATTCCCCAAGGAGTGCCACCTACTCTCTCCTTTATGCTTCCATTGTACTTTGTGTCCATCTCAACATAACACTTACCATGCTCTGCTGCCATTATTTGCTACCTGTTTCTCTCCTCAATCAGATTGAGAGCTTCTTGAAAGCAGAGATCTTGTCTTTGTATATCTGGTTTCTAAGAATGCATACTGAGTAAATGAATAGAAGAAAAAATGAATGAGGCAATTAGTATGTATGCCTTGAATGGCATTAAATTTAGGCTTATGCCAATCAATGTGCAAAGGTTGAGAAAATAAATAAGGGGAAGCCAAGGATAGAAAATAAAACCATGCTCATCAGAATAGAAGAGGATAGGCTGGGCGCAGTGGCTCACGCCTGTAATCCCAATCACTTGGGGTCAATAGTTTGAGATGAGCCTAGCCAACATAGTGAAACCCCATCTCTACTAAAAACACAAAATTAGCCAGGCTTGGTGGTGCGCACCTGTAATCCCAGCTACTGGGGAGGCTGAGGCAAGAGAATCACTTGAACCTAGGAGGCAGAGGTTGCAGTGAGCCTAGATCGTGCCACTGCACTCCAGCCTGGGCTGGACAGAGCAAGACTCCATCTCTGAAAAATAAAATAAAATAAAATAAAACAAAAAAACAGAATAGAAGAAGATAGCTAAGAACCACAGTGGTCAAGCCAGCCTGGCTTCAACAGAGATGAATGGAGAGACCACGGTCAGCCCCATTAACAGAAGAACTGGGGCCAGGAACGGTGGCTCATGCCTATAATCCCAGCACTTTGGGAGGCCGAGGCAGGCAGATCATGAGGTCAGGAGTTCGAGACCAGCCTGACCAATATGGTGAAACCCCATCTCTACTAAACATACAAAAATTAGCCGGGTGTGGCAGCACATGCCTGTCATCCCAGCTACTCAGGAGGCTGAGGCAGGAGAAACGCTTGAACCCAGGAGGCAGAGGTAGCCATGAGCCGAGATCACGCCATTGCACTCCAGCCTGGCGACAGAGCGAGACTCCATCTCAAAAAAAAGAAGAACTGAGTTCAAAATCAGTTCGAAAGGTTCAATGTTGGGTCACAGGATCAGGCAAAAAGCAGAGGCAGAAAGGCCTTAGGAGTGTTCCAAGAACTAGCACTGGACCAGCTGAGAGTCAGAGAGAGTTCACCACGTGGGAACAATGCAGCCAGTCATGTGGGATAGTGGCACCATGACAGTATCTAGTCAGGACAATGACAGCCCCAGGGATAATGCTGATGAGTTCCTGCTTCAAAAAAGGTCATTGTCATTCCTTTAGTCCTGATACCTAGAACTATACGGGATTGTTCCCTGCCTCTCCCCAAGCCCCATAACTTGATCTTAAAGGCATTATTGTCAATTAAAGTAGTCCCAAGTTCCAGAAGCTATTTTTATTCAGCCTCGTCTAATAGGGCTTTCATTTTAAAATAGCTTTATTTTGAATCTATTTACTGTTCCCAGCCCCTATCACTTTGTTCTTATAAATATATTCATTCCACATGCATCACTGACAGGCACTGCTAGGAAAGGAAACTAACCCATCTTGACCACCTTTACACATCAGGTACTTATACTAAGGTGATTTCTATATATTACAGTATTGAATCACCACAACAATCCAGTGACGTAGGTATCATTACATATTATTATCCCCAATTAAGACATTAGGGAAATGAAACGTAAGAAGATTCAGAGAAAGCACAGGAAGGTGAATATGCCCAAGATTTCACATTAAGTAAATGGAATGCAGGATTCAAATTTACCCCTGTCTGAATCTAAATCTCATTCTCTTTCCATGGCATCATTCTCTCTCCTCTCTAGGCCTTTATAGAGGAAATATAGGCCCAAATAAAATATCAAAATCTCAGGATGGGATGACAGGCTTGATTAAGAAACCCAGTCACCAAGACCACGCAGCAAGAAATGAAAAAGAAAAAAAATAATAAAATGCTGAGAACCATAGTCTGCAAAGTGAAAGGAAGAATACCTGGGAGAGCTAGAGTGACCTCCACATGCAAATACACCCTGCAGACAGGAACAGGCTTGATGGGAAGAGCAAACTCCCTAAATGGTCGGTTGTAACTTTCCTACTAGTTGAAAAGTCAGGAAAAGCCTTGTGTGCTAACTCTCTGGACAAGCGCACAAGAATCCAGGGTTGTGACTTCAAAAAAAAATATGCTGACAAGTCAGAGCTGGCAGAACAAGAGGAGGTCGAGTTGATGAGAAGAGAGAGAGAGAGAGAGAGCACTGTAATCAAGGAGAACCAACTGAAGCTGGAGGGAAGCAGAAAGAATAGCCAGGCTGGTTCAGGAGGCAGTTCTGGTACCTCTGACCCCATTGCCCACCCCCAGTAGGCAGCATGAAATATGCCAGAGGTCAACAATTTTTTTTTTTGTATTTTTTAGACAGAGTCTCACTCTGTCACCCAGGCTGGAGTGCAGTGGTGCAATCTCAGCTCACTGCAGCCTCTGCCTCCTGGGTTCAAGCAATTCTCCTGCCTCAGCCTCCCAAGTAGCTGGGAATACAGGTGCCCACCACCAAGCCCAGCTAATTTTTGTATTTTCAGTAGAGAAGGGGTTTCGCCATGTTTGGCCAGGCTGGCCTCAAATTCCTGAACTCAGGTGATCCACCGGCCAAGGCCTCCCAATGTGCTGGGATTGCAGTTGTGAGCCACCGCACCCGACCCAGAGGTCAACAGCTTCTGCCCTAGATCAGAAGTTTACTCACTTTGCTCACTCGGTATAAATCAAGGACCCTCTCATACCTGGGAATGAGTTTTGTATTCCAGCCTAGAAGTAGAGCCAGTCCCAGTTTGAACTTTTTGCCTTTCTGTACTCCCAGTTCTTACCCTTTTGCTGAGCCTAGGACACATGCAAGGCCTGCCCTTCTTAATCCAGATTTTTGAGTCTTAATCCCAATTTTTCCTATAGTTTCCCATACACTCCATGGCAGCTTAGAGTAGGCTGAAAACTGCTGAACTGTTTAAGACTTAATCCTTCAGAGTAACATGGCAGAAGTAGCACACTTTTTTAACATAAAGCTGTTCAGGACTCTATTACAGAAGAGGCTATACTTCCTTAATTACATTCTATTCTACAGCCACCTCAAAATAACTAGTGAACACGTTCAACCAGGATCATTGGCAACAGCCAATGGGCACAGTGATCTAGAAATGGTCTAGCCAAGCTGTTTGGGCTGTAGACCATGGCATTCCTAAGAGCTAAATAGGCAAGGAGTCCATTAATATTTCACTTGACTTATGTCACCATGGAAACCCCTGGAGTAGTGAATGGCTTTGGGGAGTGGTCAGATTCAACCAAAAATAACAGAAATCTCTGTCCCCCAGGTAAAGGATTCCTACTTTGTGTGTGTCTGTGTGTGCACACAGGCACACTCGAGAGACTTTTGGCATTCTTTGAAGTCACTGGAGGGGCACAGAGATAAACCCACTCAGCCTTGGCCTCCAAGACTAACAGAACAAAACGTTTCCCTGAAAGAATAAAAAAAAAATACAGGCATAAGAAAACACACAAACATGGGCTTAGAGATTTAAATACACACACACACACACACACACACACACACACACACAGGCCCTAGAAGGAACATACACCCTGAGATACGCACTCATTCTAAAATAAACTCGGGAATACAGAAGGACACGGGCATGTCCTTTCAGAGAGGCACACTTCTAGGCCCTAAGTAGGAGAAGGAAGAGGGGAGAGGAAGAGGCAGGGAGAGGGACAGGGAGGGGGGAGGAGGGAGGGAGAGAGAGAGAGAAACGAAGAAGGGGGCGGAGGAGGAGATGGAGGAGACACTCTTTATTCTATAGGAGGAGACATCACGGAAGAGAAATCAACACTGAGGCCTTGGCCGGGCGCGGTGGCTCACGCCTGTAATCCCAGCACTTTGGGAGGCCGAGGCGGGTGCATCACCTGAGGTCAGGAGTTTCCAGACCAGCCTGGCCAACATGGCGAAACCCGGCCTCTACTAAAAAATACAAAAATTAGCCGGGCATGGTGGCGCGGACCTGTAATCCCAGCTACTCGGGAGGCTGAGGCAGGAGAATCTCTTGAACCCGGAGACGGAGGTTGCAGTGAGCCGAGATCGCGCCATTGCACTCCAGCCTGGGCAACAGGGCGAGACTCCGTCTCAGAAAAAACAACAACAACAACAACAACGAACAAACCAAAAACCAATGAGGCCTGAAGATAAAGACACATGTACAACCACGGATGTCAGACTTCCAGAGGCACGGCCAAGGCAAAAGACAAACACATACAGACTGCAGCAGGCAGACAGGCCGGTTCCAGAGTCAGGCTCCGGTGAAGCTCCGAAGAAACAAACACGCAGGGAGATTTCGGAGGCGTCCGAGGACACCGTGGGGCCCGGCTGGCTCCCTCTGTCTCTGTGCGCGCCCCTTCCCCGGGTCACCCCGCCTGCGCCCGACCTGCGCCCGCGCACCGCGCCCTCGGGGCTCCCTGGGACAGCCCGCGGCCTGGCCCGTGCGCCCGGGCTCCCCTCTCCGCCGGCCCGGCACTTCCCAGCTCTGACGCGGGAGCTTCTTTCACACCAATGGGGCTCGCGCGCGGAGGGGCCCTGCCCCTCCTCCGGGAAGGTGTGTCCCTGTTTCCTCACCTGAAACTTCCTAGGAGAACCCGATCCCTCCCTCCCGTCGGGCGGCCAGGGGCGGGCCGCGGGTGGGGCGGCCGGGCCTGCGCTGGGGACGGCTCTGGGGACTGCGGCCGGCGCCGGGACCTGGAGGGGACGCTGGGGCCGAAGCAGCATGTGACACCGACCAGGTGGGTGCCCTCCTCCCGTCTCGGCCCTGGGCTCCCGGCGGCTGTGGAGCCCGGCGGAGGTGGGGCAGGGACAGGAAGGAAGAGGAAGCCAGGCCTTTCCCAGGGATCAGCCCCCGCTGGGTCCGGGGCGCAGGCTCCGGAAATGGGGGGGCTGGGCCCGCAGGCAGGGCTCGGGGTGTGTGGCTGAGGACCCTGGTGGGGAAGAGGAGAGGAACTAGAGGAAATGTTGTTGCCTACAAGTTTGCTTCCGGTCGGGTCCCGCCTAGGAAATGGGCACCCTGCCCCCAGACGTTCCCCGGGCCAATAATCAGGGCTCTTTCTTCAAAGTAGGCGCCCTGGGGAAAGCTAAGCCATATCAGAAGGAATAACTGAGATTCCCTTTCTAGGCTGTTCCTTACCTGGAGAGGTTTTATCGGCTCCTTTTCCTTAACCAGGCCGGGGCCTTTCCTTATGTATCTCCATAGGTATTTGCATACTGTGTGAGTCTATGTGTAGCTTCTCTCCGTGTTAACCAAAGCTCCGTAACCTGGAACAGTGAATCCTGCCCTGCCCCTCACCCCAGTTCCCTACATATGGGGAGCCTCCTAAAGCTTGATGTGAATCACAACGTTGCATTCTTAGCAAGGTGGAAAGAAGTTATTTAGAGTTGGGGGCTGAGGTAGGCGTTGGGGTGCTAGAATGCGGACGCAGAGCTCTAGAACCCCTGAGCATCTTTTGCAGTTGCCTTCCGGCAAGACTACCGGAGGAGAGCCAGTTGTGATACTACGTCATTTCCAGATCTCAGTCCCTTTCTTCCCTTCCTGGATCTTGGGTTCCAAAGACAGATTTGCCCTCCTGTCTACCTAGAAGTGAACTCTGGCCAGGACTCTTGTCTGGTTGAGAGAGAAGGGTGTGTCAAACAGATGAGAGAGGGTGGTTTTCCTTTCGAGCTTCCTCCCTAGCTTGCTCCCCTACTGCACTCCACTGTCTGGCCTTGCATCTTGGGCCTAATCCAGAGGTCCCAGCTCCAGCTAAAAAGCTCTTGATGTGGCCTCTGTCTCAGACGTCTTGTTTTATCCACATTTGGAGCATGAAGAAGTTCCTGGCATAGGCCTTAGCAAAATGGGTGTCATTTGTTAACCAATCTGTGGGCCTAAAAGTGAAGCCATGGCTAGTGAAGGAGTCCTGGGGAGCTGGGAAGATGGGATGAGGGCGTGTCAGTTCTGGGTGAGACTGATATGCAGGAGGAATGTATGTCATGGTCCTAGTGGGGAGGAGAGAGAAATCAGGAGGAGTGCAAAGGAATCCCTCTCATCAACAGAATATAGTGATTCTCAATAGAGAGAAGAGTGTTCATATATTAGAGGTCCTGAGAGTGTATCAGTGCCCTTAACGCGGTCTGTCTGAGGTTCCGTGGCCACGTTACACGTGGTGTCTGTGGGATAGACAGGAATACGTCATTTGTGGTGTCTGGAGAGGTCAGTCGCTATGTGGTATGGACAGGAATGGAGTCACTCGTAGGGTCTTGGGTTCAACGGGAGCAGCATTACTCAAGTGTCAGTGGTGTAGACAAACAGGTGACCAACAGCTCTAGTGTAGACAGGGGCTGGGTCACTCACAGTGTCTGTGGAGTAAGCAGGAGCCGATCACTTATAGTGCCTGCAAGGTAGACTGGAACAAAGTCACCCTCAAGGTCTATGTTAATACACAAACACGTCACTCACACTAATGTTATCTGTGTGGATGCCACCAGGACCACAGATGAGATTGTAGAGTGTAAGTCAGCATTGACACTAATAATGTTCTTATATAAACTATCTGGTCTATAAGGCAGTTGGTGTGACATTTTCAGACATTAGAGAATAGATAAATGTGTATTACAGCTTTCACTGGCATGGTGGGACTTTCCTGCAATGGATAGAACACACATTGTAGTAGTCAGTGGTCCAGAAAGCTACCCCTGTTTTGATATCTTTGTAGTATTGAGGGCAGTGATGTCAAACAGTGAATAAAGTTATATATCTATGTGGTGATCTTATTTTAACCTCAATATTATTTTAGTGATTTGTAAGTCAGAATATTTGAAATCAACCTTGCTAGAAAATCCAGGAAGCATGGTCCTCAAAAATATATATATGGCACTGAGTCTCAGTTCAAAGATTTGGCAGTTTGATTGGGGAGGGGTTGTATCCTTGAAATACAGTGTTGTTTCTAGTGACTAGAAATAGACAAGAGCTAAGGTGTTGGTGGGGGGGCTCTAGGGAAGATAGTGAGCTCTGTCACACATTATGTTAAAGGGATGACTTGAAGCTTTGCCTCTCAAGAAGTCACACGTGGGTGAGGTTATGTGGATGCAGAATGTCTGTGGTCTGAAGCAAGGCCGTATCCCCATAATCCCATGCCCTGGCTTTGCCTGTACACAGATAAACAGTGATTATTCACCCTCAGTGGAGAAGGAGATGAGGATGTTTGCACTCTAACGTAATGAGCATTGCAAAAAACTCTCTCCTGATGCCTTTACGTGAGTAAGACCATGATTTACAGATTTCCTTTCACTTTGTCACATTTTAGCTTTGTCATGCCTGATTGCAACGGGATCACTGAGATAGGATCAAGTATAGGGAACGTGGGGTATGTTCTCCCTTTGCGGTAACTGGTGGCTGAGCAGGTGACCACTGATATTTCCAAATGAAAAAAGACAGTTAGAAACGGTGTCAATGGGCTTGCAGAGGCAGGCATGCACTGTGCCACTAGATTGGAACAGAAAATGTCCAGGTAGCACATGGTATTTATAGATATACCCTAGATATGGCAGAAACACACTTTTATTTAGAGGCTACTTGTTTTGAAGACGTGATGGTGTATATGGAGGAGAGGGCCTGAACCATGCAGATGTAAGTGAGGAGAGACTACAGGTTTAGTCCCATGGTCTCCTTAGGCCAAGTTTCAGAAAGTGTCTTAAAGTAAGCAAGTATATTATTCGATGTGTGGTTGAGAGAACAGGGCCACATCACAGAATCACCCATAGGGATTATAGTATTTTGTACTTAAGGGCTAGACATAGGGAGCCAATCGCATATGGTGTCAGTTAACTGGAAAAGGACATAAAAGTCCTTCTGCCTGTGTACAATTATGTCAGACATATCTCTTTGCCCCATATAGATGGTATCTCTGTCTCTGGGATGGCCAGAATCTTGTCACATACTACTCTGCAGTGTGCTAGGGACCTGCCTGTTTGGTTATGTCAGGCTCTATTGCAAGAGTTTGTAAGGATGGCTCAGTGTGTGTGTGTGTGTGTGTGTGTGTGTGTGTGTGTGTGTGTGTGTGTACACACAGTGGCTAAGCAGGACAGTATTCTGAGCAGGTGAGTTTTCAGTTTAAGCCTGGACCAGACAAGAAAGGTGCACGGTCAGGTGCAGCATTGGGTCCATAGAATTCTGGGGTCTTCTCTGGACTGATGGCCTGCCAGCTTTCTTTCAGTAGGACCTCTAAGTGCTTACAGGAGACTTAAATCAAGCGACTTTGCTTCAGGTTTGCCCATACCATTTGCTTAGGAGATTTGAGCAAGGGTCTAGGGTCTTTGACCTTTAGTTTCTTCATCTGTAAATTGAGCAGTTTCTGTGTGTCTCTGAAGGTCCTTCCGGCTTTATGAATCCTGTGTTTCTCTCTTACACTTATTCTCTGTCTCTCAGGTCAACAGTATTTACCACAGCCACCATTTCTATGACCCTTAAAGATAGCAGTGTACATTTTTATGTTACCTTATTTAATCTTTACTAGAACTGTGAAGGAATCCTTTTATCTCCTTTTTAAAGATAAGAAAATGGATGTTCAAATAAATTTAATGGTTTCTACAATTGTCTTAAAACCAGCAAAGATACCAGAGAGGCACAACCAAACACTGATCCACACTCTTCTAACTCTATATTCTTCCGTCATTCATTCATACAATACATCTTTGTTGAGGGCCAACTAGGCTTCAGGCAGAGGGGGTTATATGGCAGTGTTTGTCCCTTCATGGTGCTCATAATCTAGCCTGGAAAATAGACATTAAATATGACATGACAAGTGCAAGGTGTGTTTGAGGAGAAGCAAAGGATTCTCTGTTGCAAAAGAGGATTCCAGGCAGAGGAGCAGTGTCTACAAAGGCCTACAGGTGAGAGACACAGAGAGAAGTGAGCTAAAGACACTGAAAGCCAGTGGGGGGGGGGGGGATGGGGGCAGGGACAGATGGTGACAGGTGAATAGGCTGCTAGAGAAGAAGGCAGAGCCAGGTTGTGCAGGGAGTATAACCCATGCTGAAGATTTAGATTTCATCTCAAGAGCATTCAGAGGCTGCTGAAGAATCTAAGCTAGAACTGGTGCTTTTGAAGCTCACTTAGGTGCTGTATGGAGAAAGGACTGGAATAACGTGAAATGGGTGGACGCCAGTGCCCAAGCTGTGGCCGGGTGCAGTGGCCCGGGCGAGACGGTAGCAGCATGCACCAGTGGAGAGGGATGGGATAGAAGTGGACAGTCTTAAGGGATATTTAGCAGACGAGGTCAATAGCACATGGTGATTGATTAGATATGGGGAATCTGGGCCAGGAGGGAAACAAGAATTTTATTTTATTTTAATTAATTAATTAATTTATTTAGAGACAGAGTCTCACTCTGTCACCTAGGCTGGAATGCAGTGATGTGATCTTGGCTCACTGCAGCCTCTGCCTCCTGGGCTCAAGGGATCCTCCCATCTCAGCCCCCAAGTAGCTGGAACTACAGGCACGTGCCACCATGCTCCACTAATTTTTGTATTTTTTGTGGAGACAGGGTTTCACCAGGTTGTCCAGGCTGGTCTCAAACTCCTAGATTCAAGCAGTCAACCTGCCTCAGCCTCCCAGAGTGTCAGGATTATATATATAAAGTGCATTGGGAAACTCAGTTTTTCATCTGTAAAATGGGCAGAATAATGGTACCCATCTTATACGATGACTCTTAGATGTATGGCACATACATATTTAAAGAAGCATTTCATTATTTTTAATGACATGTATGCAGGAAAACCTTAGTGTTTCAGAATGAAAAATAAGAAAAATTAATTTGTTGTGTATAGAGCTCTAAATGTTTAAAGTTCTGTGTAAACTGTTAATCATGATTTTAGGAAAAGGTGGGCATATTCCATTGAAGTAAAAGGATCACATTTTATTCTGACCTGAATTTTATTCTTTATGTGAAAAATATTTATTAAACACTGAGTATAGGCCACTATTAGGCTAAGTATGGATAATTCAGCAAGTCATAGTTCTTAATCTCATAAATTTTACTATCTATTGGTTGCAATAGAGGGTAACTCAAAATACACACATCATTATATAATTATAATTGTATAAATGCTACAAAGGAAAAGTAAAGTGAATTATAGTTGGTAAGTGCTACAAAGAGGGGTACAATTTAACCTACTTAAAAGATCAGGGGAGGCCAGGTGCAGTGGCTTACGCCTATAATCACAACACTTCGGGAGGCCGAGGCGGGTGGATAACGAGGTCAGGAGATTGAGACCATCCTGGCCAAAATGGTGAAACCCCGTCTCTACTAAAAGTACAAAAATTAGCTGGGTGTGGTGGCACACACCTATAGTCCCAGCTACTCGGGAGGCTGAGGCAGGAGAATCGCTTGAACCCGGAGGTGGAGGTTGCAATGACCCAAGATTGCACCACGGCACTCCAGCCTGGGTGACAGAGCAAGACTCCATCTCAAAAAAAAAAAAAAAAAAGAAAGAAAAAAAAAGACTGGAGGAAACTGAAGGGGTAAAACCAGGAAAATGTAATACCACAAGTAACAAGAGAGTATTTCTAACCTCAGTACTGTCAAATACTGACAAGAACCACCCAAAGTGAAGATCCATAAGGTCTTCTTTGGAATTAACAACATGTTGATTGTAGGGAATATTGGCAGAATGCCGCTATCAAAGCTCAGTTGGAGGCAGGTGGGATGTGAGAGTATGAAGACAGCAGATAAGAGCAACTCCTTCTAGTCATTTGAAAGATGAGAAGAATGTGGGAATGCTTCCATACCCCAGGGGTTGTTCAGCAGGGATGTTGAAGGTATGAGTGCACAGTGTTCCTGGGGAAGCAGGCAAGAAATGACAGAGCATGGAAAGGAGGGATACGTCTTTTCCTGACTGAGGGCGGAAGATAGAAAGAGTGGAAATACAGGTTGCTTTGGATCACAAGAAATTGAGGTGAGAGAAACCCAGTTCCATCAGTTTCTATTTTCTTTGCAAAATAGGAGATGAGGTGTTCTGCTGGAAGTGAGAAGAAAGGCAGGAAGGTCGAAATCAAAAGACAGGAAGGTCAAAAGAATTAATGAGAAGAGTTCATATGGATACTGAGGCCAAGGGGAGAGTAAGGTGATGCAGAAAGCACCCTTCTGTGGTCTTCCTTCAAGGTGGTAATGTGTCTAGTTCAACACTAATCCAATAAGGCTGTTATCATCCCACTTTACAACAGCTGCCTCTAGAATTGGAAACAAAACTGTTAGTTACAATGCTGTAGTAGACACTATGGAAAACAGAAAGATGAGTAAACTCCAAACCCTCTGTAAAGAAGATGAAACCATAGCACCTCACACATTGGCTATCATAGCCTGGCCTATTTTAACTGATGTCCACAGCTTAAGAGGAAGACCCTCTCCTGACACTGCTTCTCTGGCCTAATAGATCTGAGGTGTGTCCCTTGCTGTGTCTGGGGGTTATATGAGGATGAGTCACTCCTAGTGTCCGAAGAGTAGACAGGGAGAGACAGAAGATGACATAATGGAGTCTAGAGAGAACTGACAACTGGGAGCTTCTGGGCACTCTCTGACAATGGTCCTCTGCTATAATTTAATTGTTCATTATGACCTGTTTCCCTCACAAGACCACAGTCTCCATGACGACAAGATCTTTATCTCATTCACTACTGAATGCCCCACACTTAACAGGGTCGCTAGGAAAATATTTATGAAATAAATACATCAATGACAAGTTTTTTAGAGGCTATTGCTTATTTTGTTGAGAACCTGTTGTCTCAAAGAATGACCCTAAATGGAACCAAATAAATGCATCACTCTTCTTTTTTATGGTCTCTTCCTCTGATAGGTAAAAGCAGAGTTGTTAGAAACATTTGTCTTTGATTCCTCCTTAGGATTCAGCCCTGATGGAGGCTGAGGAGGCCCAGCATGGAGCCTCTCCTCCCATCTCTGCCATAGAGGAATTCAGCATTATCCCTGAGGCTCCCATGAGGAGCAGCCAGGTCTCTGCCTTGGGGCTTGAAGCTCAAGAAGATGAGGACCCATCCTATAAGTGGAGAGAGGAACACAGACTCTCAGCAACTCAGCAGAGTGAGTTAAGGGATGTGTGTGACTATGCGATTGAGACGATGCCCTCTTTTCCCAAGGAAGGTTCTGCAGATGTGGAGCCCAATCAGGAAAGCCTTGTGGCTGAGGCCTGTGACACTCCGGAACACTGGGAGGCAGTACCCCAGAGCCTAGCAGGCCGACAAGCAAGGACTCTAGCTCCCCCAGAGCTCTGGGCCTGCCCCATTCAGAGTGAGCATCTAGACATGGCCCCATTTTCCAGTGACCTGGGAAGCGAAGAAGAGGAGGTGGAATTTTGGCCAGGACTTACTTCTTTGACATTGGGATCTGGACAGGCAGAAGAAGAAGAGGAAACCTCTTCAGATAACTCTGGTCAGACCAGATATTATTCTCCCTGCGAAGAGCATCCTGCAGAGACCAACCAGAATGAAGGCGCTGAAAGTGGGACTATCAGGCAGGGGGAAGAGCTGCCATCTGAGGAGCTGCAGGAAAGTCAAGGGCTCTTGCATCCCCAGGAGGTCCAAGTTCTGGAGGAGCAGGGACAGCAGGAAGCAGGATTTCGGGGGGAAGGAACTCTGAGGGAGGATGTTTGTGCCGATGGGCTATTAGGGGAGGAACAGATGATAGAGCAGGTTAATGATGAAAAGGGAGAACAGAAGCAAAAACAGGAACAGGTACAAGATGTGATGCTTGGGAGACAAGGAGAAAGAATGGGGCTCACTGGGGAGCCAGAGGGTCTGAATGACGGTGAGTGGGAGCAGGAGGATATGGAGAGGAAGGCTCAGGGTCAGGGAGGTCCAGAACAGGGAGAAGAGAGGAAGAGGGAGCTGCAGGTGCCAGAAGAGAACAGGGCGGACTCTCAGGACGAAAAGAGTCAAACCTTTTTGGGAAAATCAGAGGAAGTAACTGGAAAGCAAGAAGATCATGGTATAAAGGAGAAAGGGGTCCCAGTCAGCGGGCAGGAGGCGAAAGAGCCAGAGAGTTGGGATGGGGGCAGGCTGGGGGCAGTGGGAAGAGCGAGGAGCAGGGAAGAGGAGAATGAGCATCATGGGCCTTCAATGCCCGCTCTGATAGCCCCTGAGGACTCTCCTCACTGTGACCTGTTTCCAGGTGCCTCATATCTCGTGACTCAGATTCCCGGGACTCAGACAGAGTCCAGGGCTGAGGAACTGTCCCCCGCAGCTCTGTCTCCCTTGCTAGAGCCCATCAGATGCTCTCACCAGCCCATTTCTCTACTGGGCTCCTTTTTGACTGAGGAGTCACCTGACAAGGAAAAACTTCTATCAGTACTTTGATATGTCACAGTTTCATGTTTATCCAGTTCAATGTATTTTTAAATTTTTCCTTGAGACTTCTTTGACTGATAGATTATTGTGAAGTGTGTTTTTAAATTTCCAAATGTTTAGGGATTTTCATATCTTTCTTATGCTGATTTCCAATTGGATTCCCTACAATGATTTCTGGTTTTCATCTGCTCTGGATGATTACTATCTCTTTTAAATTTGTTGTGGCGAGTTTTAGGGCCTAGGACAGCTCTATCTTGCCATGTGTTTCGTCAGCACTCAAAAAAAATATGTGTATTCTGCTGTTACTGTGTGGAATATTCTGTAAATGCCAAATAGATTCTTTTGGTTAATGGCATTTTGAGTTGTTTTATATTCTTGTTGATTTTCTTTTTTTTCCTCTTTTTAAAAACATGAAATGCTTCACAAAATTTTGTGTAATCTATATTCAAGAACCATTTTAATCTTGTTGGCATCATTCTGATTTTAGAAAGTGCTGCCAAAGCCAACACTCCTTGCTGATTTTCTGTCTAGTTCTATCAATTATTGAAAAAGGCATGAGGAAATTTCTAACTATAATTGTGGATTCATCTATATCTCCTTTCAGTTTTCTTTTTTTAAAAAAAATCAATGAAAATTTATTAAATTAAGCATAAAGTTACTTTCACATTTATCTACAACCACAGTGAATACAGTTCTTGGCATGAAGACACCACAACCTTTAGAATTTAAAGCCTCCTCACCTGCAAGATTACATATATAAAACTCCCACTATTGTTTCTCTAAGAGTGGATTAGTTCACCAAGTTAAAAGTTATATGATCTAGAATATAATAAAATGGAAATGATTTACTCATAAGATTCATATTCAAACCATCTTTATTTACGAAATACTATCCTGAGAACTATTATTCCATTAAACTTCAATTTGAGAAAAGTGCAATCACTTAAGTAACAGCAGTTACTTAAACTGAAAATGAGATCAGTCAAAATTACTTTTGAAGAAAGCAACAATATTGTCAGGTTTCTTGCTGTGGTTCTGGATGTCCAGTAGCAGGCTCCTTTGAAGGCGGAATCAATCCTGAAGGGAACTCGCTTCTACCTTCAGAATGTGGGGTTGGGGTAAAATCCAGGTCTCGGATGAAGGTAAGGAGGTAAACCCCTCGGTGGATAGATGTTTCTCATTGCAAATGGAGCATGTGGTGGACCTGGGAAATCCCTTGGTGGAAAATAACCTCGAGAAGCTCCAAACATGGTTCCTGGAGGAGGTGGGGGGAAAGGAGGTCCTCTTCTCATGAACGGGCCCCTTGTATCCACTGGAAACAATGGACCGCTGATTGGAGCAAGAGGTGGAGGAATAAGGCCAGGGCCAGTTGCTTCATTTTCAGCAGGGAGAGATGAATCAGGCACATTTAAATTACCAAGATCATCTTTGGCATCATTTCTACTGGATTCCATTTCTGAAGGCATTGACCTATCCATTTTATCCAAAGAAGTCATTTTAAAACTTCTGGGTTCTGCTGGTCCAGACAGTCTTTCAGAATTAGAATAAAATCTGTCTTCCCTTTGTGGAGGAAGAGTTGAATCAGGATATGATTGCCCTGGTGGAGGAAACATCATCCTACGGTCCTGTTCCACCGGAGATGACAGGGACCCAGTGTCAGAAGGAGCCCTGTGAGGATCGATTAACCTGTCATAGCTTGGTTCTCCTCTTTCATTGGTAATCTGATGGTCCAGGGGATTCCCTGGGCTGCTTGGGCCTCTTCCTCCTCCCCCTGGAAGCACAGGTGAGAGTCTGAGTGGATCCTCCAACAAAGTTTGAGGAGAGGGAAAAGCTCTCGTTTCAGATGAAGGCCGACCCAATGGTGAGGGACTACATGGGGAATGCTCTCTGCCAAATGCTGTATTTGAAACATCGAGTGCATTAGGATCTTTTTCTAAAAGTTCAAATTTCAACTCTGTTTCAGTTAATTTTTGTTTGTTGTGAGCATTTTCTTTCCTTAAATCACTGAGGTTTCTTTCAGCAGTCCGAGCTGCCAACCAATTATCATGTCCTCTTTTCTCGTAGGAAATAACCTGCTTTTGATAAAAATGAACAGTTCTCTCCAATTCTTCTTCAAGATCTTTGGCTAGCTTTCTATAGGTCTCCAGCCCTTCAGTGGCACGGCTGATCTTTTCTTCCACTCTAGAAAGCTTCTCTTCTTCCTCTATTCGGTAATTTTCCTCCACTGTTAATTTCCTGTAGAGTTTCATTTCATTTTCTTGATAGAATTCAGTCATTATTTTAAGTTTCTGTTGAAGCTTCTGATTCTCACTTTCAAAATATATGTTTTCTGATTGCAAAGATGCTTGTTGAGTCTGAAGATTTTTAATATGCTCTGTAAGCTCTTCCTTTGTTTTGTCCACTTCAGATAACTGAATAATAATGTGGTTTCTTTCTCCTTCTAAGCTTTTTAAAGAAACATTTAACTTAGCAGCATGAATCAGTTTCTTCAAAGCTCCTTTCAGAGGATCATCTAAGTTAGCACCATTTTCCCATTGACTGTTCACTTCTAATTCCAGGTTATCATCATCCGTTGTGTCTTCTTCAAGCACAGCAGCCTGATCTTTCATCATTGGCAAGTGTCCAGTCAGGGTCTTGATGTGATTTTCTTTATCATTCAGAACTTGTTCTGCGTGCACTTTGGAGTCTTCAAATGTTATTTTCTGTTTATTAAGTTCACTCACTTCTCCTTTCCATACTTCAGCTTCTTGCTGAAAAAGCTGTTTATGGCTTGTCTGAAGTTGAGAATTTTCATTCAAAGCATCTTTTATTGCTATAGCCCGTCGTTCTTCACTCATTTTAAATGTCTTGCAGATGATTTTGGCTTCAGCTATTTGTGATTTGAGGGATTTTGACTCATCTTCTAGAGACTGTATACTTTTTGAAATATCCGCCATCAATTCATCTTGTTGAGAATGTTTAGATTTCTCTTCTTTTAAGTCTTTTTCTAGACAGAGGATTTCATCCTCAAGTTCAGAATTGGACCTGTTCAGCTTTTCACAGGTTGCCTCCAAACTTCGTGCTTCTTCTGCTGCCGCCTTCTCAAAGCTGGCATCCTCTAAAGATGACTCTACTTCATAGCCTTCATACTCTTTTTGAATAAGGCTAAACTTTTCAAGTAGTTTACATTTTTCTTCAATTAGTCCAGAAAGCGTTGCACCAAGTTTTTGCTCTCTTCCCACGTAAAGCCGACTCCTAACCGATCTAAAACTTCTCCACAAAAAAAGGAGAACAACAAAAAATCCAATAACAGCTGCACATACCACCAGTTCCGATGGAAAACCATAAGGATTCTCATCTGGTCTCATACTCTCAGGTAGTGCTGCCACAACTCTGCGTAGCTCCTCCAGGACCAGCCCCAGGTAGGGCTGAGGGGTAGCACCAGGCTCCTCCATAGCGTCGAGGCTGCTCTGGCGGTCACCGCAGTAACACTGGCCACAACAAGCGGTGGAGAACACGCAGCCTTGGGTCTGGAACCCGAATGCGCACGTGACAACCAACCGGAGCGGACCACTGTGGAGCGGGCTGCGGGGGGAGCTGGGGAACGCGGGCACCCACAGGCCTCACAGGCCCATGTTGTCCCCCACCACCTCCCCTGGCCCTCTTGTTACACTTCACATCCTGAGGCAGCGCTGGTCTGAGCCCGGCCCGCCTTAGTTCTGGCAGTTTTCACATCACATATTTTGAAGCTTTATTTTTTGGTGAATACACTTTTAAAATTGCTGTCTTCTTCATGGATTAAACCTTTGATCATTATATAATCTCTGGTTTTGGAAGTTTTCTTTGCTTTATCTGATATGCACACAGACACTCTTGCTTTCCTTTCATTAATGTTTGTGTAATATATCTTTTTTCATCCTGTTAATTTGGCCTGCCCTGTATTGGTAAAATTCAAGTGAGTTTCTTGTACACAGCATACAAGAAACATACAAGAAAGGGTCATACTTTTAAATACACTCTTCTATTATCTATCTCTTGGTAGACCATTCATAATTAAATGAATTATTGATACTTTAATGCGTAAGCCTGACATTTTTTGTTTTCTCTATCAATTCTTGTTTCTCTGCTTATTTTTCATGACTTCATGTGGGTTACTTGAACATTTGTTTTAGAATTCCATTTTGTTATTTATAGTGTTTATAGTGTATCTTCTTTTTTATAGTTTTTTTGGTTGCATTTTATAGCTTAGTGGTTGCATTTTACAGCTTAGTGTATATTCATTTATATAAACATTATCACAGTCAATTGGTATCATCTTTATTCCAGTCTGAGTGAAGTATAGCAACCTTCTGTCATATTATGTCTCTTTACTCTATCAAATTTGTAGTATAATTGTCTTACATCCATTTAGAATAACACTAGACAATGCTATGATTTTTGCTTGAAACATCAAACATAATTTAGGAAATTAGAATCTATGAAAATAAAGTGAGCATTTTAAAGCTTCCAGAAAGAAATCTGACACAACCTGTTTTGTCTTTCATTTTTTCTTTCTTTCCTTTATATTCATCATAGATGTTATGATGCCCTATCTGTTAACTCCAATATCTGGATTATCTATGAGTTTGTTTTTAATAACTGATTTATTTCTTATCAGTCTGTTTTACTTGCTTTTTTGTATATTTGGTATTTTTTTTAAAGTATGCTGAATTTATGGATAATATGATATAGAACTACTCAAGAATTTTGAATTTTTTTTCTGGGCAGAATTTGTAATTACTTGCAGATCATCTTGCTGCTCTCAAGACCTAGTTTTAAGCTGTGTTATGGTAATTATATTTTATTTTCCTCTTAGAACATATGCCTCACTCCTGGGATACTGCACCTCTCCTAAGAGAATTTTTAGAGTCCCAACTGAGTTTCTCAGTTGTTTGCCAACATTTCCCCATTTGGCTGGATCTGAACTCCAGTAGCTTTCCAGGAAGTTTTCAGTCCCTGATGATCTCTTCTGCTTTCTGTATCCCAGCAGTTTCTTTCTCCAAGGTCTCCCCTCTTCTTAGCCAACTGTCACATAGCTAAGGAGTCACAGAAGGACCAAAATGGCATGTATACACCCATTTCTAGGTTCTTTCTCTCTCCCATATGGTACATTGACCCCCAATTCCTAACCAATTTAGCAGCTTTGAACTCTATTCATTGCTTCTTTTGGTTCCCAAGACCACTAACCCCTGGTTGGGTCCCATTTTCCTGTACCAAGGTCAGGAAGATGCCTTTCTGGAAAATCCTGGCAAATGTGGTACTAACCTCATGTGCCTCACCTTCCTTAAAGATCTCATACCTGACTTGCTACAACAATGTTCTTCAATGCCTGCTGATATGGTTTGGCTGTGTCCTTACGCAGATCCCATCTTGAATTGTAGCTTGCATAATTCCCACATGTAGCCAGCCCACCTGAACCATGCTCAGCAGCTGGTGAGAGGTAATTGAATCATGGGGGTGGGTCTTTCCCATGCTGTTGTTGTGATAGTGAATAAGTCTCATGAGATCTGATGGTTTTACAAAGGGGAGCTCCCCTGCACATGCCCTCTCTCTTGTCTGCCATGTAAGATGTGCCTTTGCTTTTCCTTTGCCTTCTATCATGATTGTGAGTTCTCCCCAGCCATGTGGAACTGTGAGTTCACTAAACCTCTTTCTTTTATAAATTACCCAGTCTTGGGTATGTCTTTATTAGCAGCATGAGAACAGACTAATACACCTGCCAAGAATTTTTTCTATATTTTGGCCAGATTGTATAGTTTTTTATGGTGGGAGGGTGAATCTGACACAAGCTATTTGGTGTCAAGTAGCCAAGTCACATACTAATTTATTTTTAATGTAAAGCTATACAACCTTCTTTCTATACCTAAATTTTTAATTAAAATATAATAATTAAAATATTACTAAAAATTTCTTAATGATTTTATTTCATGGTGAAAGAGACTCAGTCTGGAATGTAAAGTATGTCTTACCAGTATTTCTCGTTTTGCAGGACATTGTCTAGGTGTCCCTCTCCCATGGATGATCATTAGTGTGGTTTATTTTTATGCTTTGAGAAAATAAGTCTGTAGTATGTTACTATATTCTACTATATAAAGATACACTTCAACTTATGATAGGATTATGTTCCAATGAACCCATCATAAGTTGGTAATATTATAAGTTGATGATGCTTTTTTTAAAAAAATATAGACTATTGTCCTGTTGCCCAGGCTGGAGTGCAGTGGCTATTCTCAGGTGTAGTCATAGTACACTATATTCTCAAAGTCTTTGAGCTCAAACAATCCTCCTGCCTCAGCTTCCTGAAGAGCTGGGACTGACTATAGGCACACACCACTATACCTGGCTTGAAGATATGTTTAATAAACCTAACCTACCAAACATCATAGCTTAGCCTAGCCCACCTGAACCATGCTTAGAACACTAACATTAGCCTACAGTTGGGCAAAATCATCTTACACAAAGCCTATATTATAGTAAGCTGTTGAATATTTCATGTAATTTATTGAATACTGTACTGAAAAGGAAAAACATCATGGTAAAATGAGTACTTGAAATATGGTTTCTACTGAATGAATATCACTTTCCCACCATTGTACAGTTGAAAATCTTAAGTGAAATCATTGTAAGTTGGTGACTCTCTGCATTTATTTATTTTACTACTTTCCTTTTTTCTTTTAATAGTTGAAAGCCATCATAAGGTAAAATATTATTGCCTAAAAATACTCTGCTTCTCTGGAAAATAAAAAAGACAGAAGTTTCAAAGAAATCTTTCAAGAGATATAAAAATCATATGAAAATGAAATAATTAAAGAATAAATCTGTAATTATGCATGTTGTAAAATACAAATGGGAGGCTGGAAGAGAGACTGTAGATGCACCGTGAAAATGAAAGCAGAAATAAAGTAGGAATGGAAACATTTATATAGGAGTTGTGAGATACAGCATCATATTTTTGTTCTACACTAAATAGTTTTCATGTCTAGCAGAGGACTTGGAAATTATAAGCTACTCAACAGTGAATCTCAGAGCTTTCTCCATTCATCTCACAGTTAGTCTTATATAAATATACAGCTCTGTAATGATTATATGTATCAATTTTTTTTCCAGTCAAGGACTTTTCCTCCACATGTTCATTTCCGTGAAAAATATCACTTGGTACTAGATGATGTGAATGGCTATGATTGAACTGGTTACTTAGGGTAATAGGCTGACATCTTGTTTCGGCAATTAAACAATAAAAAAGTTGTTCTTTATTAAGATATGAATCCATTTCTTAAAGAAATGGGTTCCATAGATTTCCATAGCATTAAGCATGTTGGTAATTCAAATGCCTCATCACTGAACAAAAATGCTCAACCTCAGAGACTATCCTTGCACATAAAAATTTTTCTTATTTTCAGTTGAGTATGGGCCAACTCATATCAAACATTATTGATAGAGATTGGAGCACCTGCTCTGGATCAGGGTAGGGTCCTCCACAGCTAGAACTGTGGAAAACATCTCAACAGTAGGCACTGGAATTGTGTTTTCCCCAGTCACAGGCCTTGGGCAAGAGGAGAGCTGCTATGGCTGTGGTTTCTCCTGGACAATGAGACTTTCAGCCAGCGCCAGCTTGATGAACTAGAACTGGTCTGTGTGTGTTATTTTTGGGTGACCCAGCCTACTTCCTTGAGACTGTGGTGTAGCAGGGCCTTCTCCATTCTACACATAAGCAGATCGCCAAGCATTTAAAGCACTTGCTCACATGGGCTGGCAGCCTGGGTTGCCCCTTCCTTCCTGTGCAGAGATCCTTGTGCAAGGGGACCATCTCCACTTCATGCCCAGGCAGACATCCAGGGATTCAGAGTGCCCATCAGCGTGAATCAGCAATCTGAGCTGCTCCGTTCTTCTGGTGCAGAGATTGCGGTGTAGTGGGACCCTCTCTGCTCCACAGATTTCCAGGTATTTGGAGCATCTGCTCACCTGGAGCAGTAGCCTGAGCCACCCCATCCTTCCTGTGCAGGGATATTGGTGTAAGGAGACCCTCTCCACTCCACAACCAGGCAGATCTCCAGGCATTTGGAGCAGCCACTCTCCTGGAGTAAGAGATTAGGCTTCCTCTGGCACCCTTATGCAGAGAATTTGGGGGCCAACTTCCACGCCGAGGCACGCCGCTGGACACTTGGTGGCTGCCCACTGGACTCTCCCTCAGAGTTGGTGCTAGTGCTTATTGTTGGGGGACCTGTAGATGGGCTTGCCAGGTCCAGCCCCACCCAGTGTTTTCTCGGTAAACAAGAATCAAGTATATACCCAGCCCCACTGGCTGCAACCTGCTGTTACCCATAAGCGCCATCTACTGGCTTGTAGGTCAAAGTACCCAGCCCAATATAAAACCTGCGGACAGAAGTGCATAGGGTTATGGAAGCAAAGTCAAAAGACCCTACTCAGTCACAGCCTCTAGGGAGAGGAGGAAAGGGAAAGGGAAAGAAAAATAAAAATCTAGAGAGAGAAAGGAAGAAAAAGAAAAAATCCTACCTACTCAAAAATAATTATAAAAATTAGAAGTTTAGCATCTTCAGATAAGAAGGAACCAGTGTAAGAATGCTGGCACCATGAAAGATCTGAATCTACATTCACATTACGCTAGCTCTCCATCAACGGTCCTTAACCAAAATGGAAACTCGTAATTGACAGATAAGGAATTCAAGGCGTGGACTGCAAAGAAGTTCAATGAGATCCAAGAAAAGATTGGAAATCGATGCAAAGAAACTTCTAAAGCAATCTAGAAAATGAAGAATCAGATAATAATATTAAAAAGAAATCAATCAGAGCTTCTGAAATTCAAAAACTCAAGGAATTTCAAAATACAATTGAAAGAATTATTAATAGCTGGGGCAAGCAGGAGAAAGAATTTCAGAGCTTGAAGATGAGTCTTTTGAACTAATCCAGTCAGAGAAAAATAAATCTAAAATAATTTTTAAAAATGAACAAAGTTTTTGAGAAATATGAGATTATGTAAAGTGACCAAAACTATGAATTATTGGCATTCCTTAGAGGAGGAAGAAAAATTAAACAACCTGAAAAACTTATATGATAGAATAATTCAAGAAAATTTTCCTAATCTTGCCAGAAACTTAGACACCAAGATACAAAAAATCCAGAAAACACCTGCGAGATACTATACAAAGTGAACCTCACCAACACATATAGTCATGAGAGTGTCCAAAGTCAGTGCTAAAGAAAAAAAATCTTAAGGGCAGCTACAGGAAAAGGTCAGATTACATACAAAGGCAACCCCATCAGGCTGACAGCGAACTTCTCAGCAGAAACTCTACAAGCCAGGAGAGATTAGATAACTATTTTCAGCATTCTTAAAGAAAAGAAATTCCAACCAAAAATTTCATATTCTGTCAAACTAAGCTTCATAAATGAAGGAAAAATAAAATCTTTCCCAGACAAGCAAGTGCTAAGGGAAAGTGTTACCACTAGACGGGGTTTACAAGAGACCCTTAAGGGAGCTCTAAACATGGAAACAAAAGAATGATGTCTTCTACTACAAAAACACACTTAAGTACATAGCCCACAGATTCTGTAAAGCAACTACACAATAGAAACCACAAAGCAACCAGTTAACATCTTCATGACAGGATCAAATCCTCACATACCAATATTAACTGTGGATTAATTGCCTACTTAAATGGCACAGAGTGATAATTTGCATTAAAAAAATAAGACCCATCTGTCTACCATATTCAAGAGACTCATCTCACACATAACAACACCCATAGGCTCAACGTAAAGGGTTGGAGAAAGATCTAGCAGATTGCCACATATCTATTACAGGACATCATTGCCTAAATTAGGCACTCTGTGTGAGCAAAAGCCAAATACAAAAATATCTGCTTTATCCATAGAACAAAGTTTTTTTTTTCTGGTTCATTTGGTTCACCTGCCTCTTTGGAACATTGTTGGAAGCATAGTACATGTCATTGATGGCCAGGTGTGAGAGGAAAATGTATATGAGGGTGTGTAGTCTGTCGTCTCTGTCATCCAGATAGGTGAGTCCCATGTTCATGCCATTCCTCAGTAGACTGAAGGCATAAAATCGCGAGAAGATGCAAGAGAGAAAGATCTCCATCTCTGCACAGAGCTGGAATCCCACCAGGATGAATTCTGTGACCCAGGGCTGCTTGCCTCCCATTCCTTAATAACAGTTTGTCAAGAACTGAACTATGAATGAAAAGGTCACAACTGGAGAATCAATAAAAATGGAAGTTATTTAATTCAAAATAATTTAGAGGAAACGTATAGTAGTCTCTATTATGTCTATATTATTTTCAGTCCTAATCTGGCAATTATTTAAAAACCACATTTAGAAAGGTTGGTCATCCTATTTAGCGTATAATTAAAATAGTATCATGGGATAATAGATTCCTAAAATCAATTTTATTCTAGAATATCTACATCGATTTCTGAGGTGTTTCAGAGCTGCCTGTGGGGTTGAATGAGTCTTTGTTGCACTTACATTGTAGGTTTTCTGTCTCCTCCTCCCTTCCACATGTGTTTATCCCTTATAAACATCCTGCCTGCCAGACCCCACCTTGGTGGCCACTTCTGGAGGATTCAACCTGGGACAGCCTGAGAGACCTTGATCTTTCCATAATTACCAGCCAGAAGAATTTACCTCATTCTACCCTCTGGAGACTCTCCTCCCTGATACTCATCTGCCACAAGAGACACACTCAGGGCCTTAGTGCATTTATACTGCAATGATTTATTTAAATTTACACAAAGTCAGATGTGGGACAAGCACCCCTCTCTCATCTTGTAGCTATGTCTTATGAACACAAATTCTTAGTGGATCACAGTAGTGAGACTGACAATTATTTCTCACAGTGCTGGAGGCTGGAAGTCCAAGATCAAGGTGCTGGCAGATACAGTGTGTGGTGAGGGCCAACTTTCTGGTTCATAGATGGTACTTTCTAATTGTGTCCTCACATGGTGCCTTAGTCCGTTTTTTCACTGCTATAAATAAATAACCAAGACTGCGTAATTTATAAAGGAAAGAGGTTTAATTGACTCACAGTTCCGTATGGCTGGGGAGGCCTCAGGAAACACAATCATGGCAGAAGGGGAAGCAGGCACCTTCTTCACAAGGCAGCAGGAGCGAGAGGAGCAAGCAAAGGAGGAGCTTGCCAAACACTTATAAAATAATCAGATCTCGTGAGAACTCACTCACTATCATGAGAACAGCATGGGGGAAACTGCCTCCATGATCTAATCATCTTCCACTAGGTTCCTCCCTCAATACCTGGGGATTACAATTCGAGATGAGATTATGGTTCCAGATTGCAAAGCCAAGTTATATCACGTGGCACAGGAGTAAGGAACCTCTCTGGTATCCGTTTATAAGGACACTAATCCCATTCATGAGGGCTCTACTTTTTGACCTAATCACATCCTAAAAGCCCCACTTCCTCCTACTATCGCATTGTCGATTAGGTTTCAATGAATTTTGGGGGGGACACGAACATTCACACCATTGTAATAATATTAAATTTAGCTCCAAAAAATTGACAAGAGTTCAGAACTGGGAAGAAACATCAATAACACATACATGTTTTTAGACCTTGTTAGAAGCAGTCAGCAATAATGAAAACATATTTCATATCTAAACAGAAAGGTTAACAATGTATGTGATGATAACCTATTTCCGTAAAGTAGGAATATTTACATCCTAGACATTATCTTGCCTGCCAGATTATCTCACTTTTCTCACTTTTAATTGTGGTTATTTCTGATTTTAAATTAAGAAATACTTTGATTCTCATCTCAGTTGCCATCGTATACATTTTGTATCTAAAAACTGAGCAAATAGCTGGGCATGGTGGCGCGCGTCTGTTATCCAAGCTACTTGGGAGGCTGAGGCAGGCCAATCTCTTGAACCCAGGAGGTGGAGGTTGCAGCGAGCCAAGATCGGACCATTGCACTACAGCCCGAGTGACAGAGCGAGACTCTGTCTTAAAAAAAAAAAAAAAGAAAAAGAAAAAGAAAACTGAGCAAAATCTAAAAATAGAAGTTAAGATGTCACAGAATAGTGATAAGCTATTACAGCACTGGAAGAGAGAAGAAAACGTCAAGTTAGTTGATGGTTGAATGACAACCTCAACTTGTCAAAAGAAATGATGAAAGTGAGCATCAGTTCATTGAAATAAATGGTATAGCCAGTATGAACATTTCTTTGGGCAGTGGTTTCCACTGAACATAGAATATAAAGATCTCTGAAAAGTATTTTTTGAGCTATTTTTATTTATTTATTTTTTGAGACAGGGCCTCACTCTGACACCCAGGCTGGAGTGCAGTGGCAGAATCATGGCTCACGGCAGCCCCAACTTCCTCGTCTCAAGGGATACTTCCACCTCAGCTGCCTGAGTAGCTGGAACCACAGGCATGAAACATCAAGCTCAGCTAATTTTTAATATTTTTGTGGAAATGGGATCTCACTATGTTGCCCAGGATGGTTTCAAATTCTTGGTCTCAGGAGATCCTCCTGCCTCGGCTTCCCAAAGTGCTGGGATTCCAGGCATGAGCCACTGCACCTGGCCTGTTTCTTTAGTTAAAGAAGATACTGTATTTCTTCATCTCAATGGTATTTTCAGAAAACAGCCAGCAGCATTGTCATTCAACCTACCAACTCTAGGACCAGATTTATTTTTCCTAAAAGACAGATCTAGCAAGGTATAATATCTGCCAACACTGATAGATAAAATGGGAGACTATCAAACAGAAATAACTATAAGTCAACATCAACCTGACTGTTTCAGAAAAGTCAATACAAGATCACTGAGAGACACTGTCACTACAACTTTTTGCTTGTTTTGAGGGCTATTGATGCTTGCTCAGTAATATCAAGATTAGTAGCAAGTGTTACGGTAAAAATTTTACTGGAGAAGTTATCCAGAAACACATATTCCTATCCTTATCCTGCCATTACGTGATTTTCAATAAGTCAGCTAATATCTCTGGACATCAGTACTTTCATGCAGGGGTGTGAAGTCCTTTCATCTCTGTGAGAGCCACTTGCAGAGGCCATGATGTGCAAGGAGTCTCTTATTTTTTTCCTCTCCTACTCATTTTTACATTTGTGCCAGTTTTTTCTTTTTGCCTTTGTATCTGATCACTTTCACTGGGAGTGACATAGAGAATGATACCAAGGAGAGTCAGGAGACCCACACTCCTGCTCCATCTAGGATAAGCTTCATGTGGGAACACCTTTTTCTGCCAGCCCAGCTATCTGCCTCCATCACAAACTGACTCAGTAAGACTATGTTATTTAATCCTGTGAATTGGTCAGTACCATTAACCCACACTACATGCATGGATTATGAAGTTAGGGAAATGAAAAAAAATTTCCACAGTCTAACAATCGCCAGCACAATGAATGATTTATATACACAGACACTACGTTTTCTGTTTCTAACTACTGAACTCATTTTCAAATGATCTTAAAGTGCTCTCTCTCAGAAAGGCTTCACATCATTCCACAATGCTTACCAACTCTCACCAGTCCTGTGTAGCCCCCTAAAATTTCTGCTCATGTTCCCCTGGATACGACTCATCACCCCAGAAGAGAAGAACTTCTCTTTCTGTCTCTTGCTCTAAGATTTTTTGGATTACAGTATATGACTCTAATCTCAATAATTTCTTCAAAACGTCTTTACTGTCTAGTAGTTTTAAAATTGATGCTCATACTGCCCCATTGGACAGATGACATAAGAAGGCATTGACATTATTTTTCATTTGCCCTAGCACATTTAAATCCATATAAAGCTTACACATTAATATTTAAGACATGCAAATTAGTTCTTTCAAATATACTTTACCAGTGGAAAGCAGAAGCGGTAAATTAAATGACTTGATAGCTGATGTGAAATAGATGAACCAGATGTACAGAATTACTGTGAAACTCGAGCACATTATCTTCTGGAAATTATTTTGTAATGATAACCAAATGAGATAACATATTGTATAATTTATCCTTTTCTTCACACATTCCCTAATTCAGTCTCTAGCAGTATTCAGTCGTTATTAGTTTCTTATTCAATTCAATATGCATATATTAGTTTTCTGTTCTTAATATTCTCTGTTAGAATAATAAATATATTCATGCTTATATTCTCCTTTAATGACCCTATGATCCCAGTGGTCATATAAAATTTACATGCATTACCTAGTTGAGAAGAAATATAAAGCAATGATTAAATGCTAAAATAATTAGTAAAAATTACTCCATGTGATTTCATGGAAAGGGAAATCAGTGTAAGCAGATTGGAAGAGCATGCTAGAATTTCATAAGGAAAGATGAGTGAAATTTGCATGGAAAGTTTACATCCCTCTTTCCCCAACATAGACCCAAGTGATAATGTCTTATGAATGTTTTTCCTCTTTTGACAATCAGGAGGTATCTGTGTTCCTCTCACTTTTTGCTCCTTATTTTCAATTACAGATTTTTATTTCTTCACATATGGATTGTCAAACCTGCTGAGTTCTTCTGAATCACGTGTCTTACTTGCTGTAGCAAGACCCTGTGTACTGCCAATAGTATAATTTTCCTTCCATGCCGTATTAGTTCACTTTCACACTGCTGATAAAGACATACCTGAGACTGGGCAATTTACAGAAAAAAGAGGTTTATTGGGCTTACAGTTCCACATGGCTGGGGAGGCCTCACAATCATGGCAGAAGATGAGAGGCATGACTCACATGGCAGCAGACAAGAGAAGAGACAGCTTGTTCAGGGAAACTCCCCCTTATAGAACCGTGAGATCTCATAAGACTTATTCACTATCACAAGAACAGCACAGGAAAGGCCTGCCCCCATGATTCAATTACCTCCCACTGGGTTCCTCCAACAACATGTAGGAATTCAAGATGAAATTTGGGTGGGGACACAGACAACCCATATTTTGCCCCTGACTCCTCCCAAATCTCATCCTCACATTTCAAAACCAATCATGCCCTCCCAACAGTCCCCCAAAGGCTTATCTTAGCATTAACTCAAAAGTCCACAGTCCAAAGTCTCATCTGAGACAAGGCAAATTCCTTCTGCCTGTGAGCCTGTTTAATCAAAAGCAAGTTAGTCACTTCCTAGATACAATGAGGTACAGGCATTGGGTAAATACAGCTGTTCCAAATGGGAGAAACTGGTCAAAACAAAGGGGCTGGAGGCCCCGTGCAAGTCCAAAATCCAGCAGGGCAGTCAAATCTTGAAGCTCACAAATGATCTCCAGGTCATGCTGATGCAAGAGATGGGTTCAAATGGTCTTGGGCAGCTCCGCTCCTGTGGTTTTGCAGGGTACAGCCTCCCTCCGGCTGCATTCATGGGCTGATGTTGAGTGTCTGTGGCTTTTCCAGGTGCACAGTGCAAGCTGTCAGTGGATCTACCATTCTGTGGTATGGAGGACGGTGGCCCTCTTCTCACAGCTCCACTAGGAGGTGCCCCAGTAGAGACTCTGTGGGGGCTCCAACCCCACATTTCCCTTCTGCACCACCCTAGCAGAGGTTCTCCATGAGAGCCCCACCCCTGCAGCAACCTTCTTCCCAGACATTCAGGAGTTTTCATACATCCTTTGAAATCTAGGAGAGGCTCCCAAACCCCAATTCTTGACTTCTGTGCACTGGCAGGCTTAACACCACATGGAAGTTGCCAATGCTTGAGGGTTGCACCCTGTGAAGCCGTGGCCTGAGCTGTACATTGGCCCCTTTCAGCTACAGCTGGAGTGACTGGGATGCAGGGCACCAAGGCCCTAGGCTGCATGCATCATGGGAACCCTGGGACCAGCCCATAAAACCACTTTTTCCTCCTAGGCCACCAGACCTGTGATGGGAGGGGCTGCCGTGAAGACCTCTGACATGCCCTGGAGACATTTTCCCCATTGTCTTGGCGATTAACATTCAGCTCCTTATTACTTATGCAAATTTCTGCAGCTGGCTTGGATTTCTCAGAAAATGGGATTTTCTTTTCTATTGCATTGCCGGGCTGCATATTTTCCAAACTTTTATGCTTTACTTCCCTTATAAACTGAATGCCTTTAACAGCACCCAAGTCACCTCTTGAATGCTTTGCTGCTTAGAAATTTCTTCCACCATATACTCTAAATATTCTCTCTCAAGTTCACAGTTCCACAAATCTCTATGGCAGGGGCAAAATGCCACCAGTCTCTTTGCTAAAACATAACAAGAGTCATCTTTGCTCCAGCTCCCAATAAGTTCCTCATCTCCATCTGAGACCACCTCAGCCTGGATTTCACTGTTCATATCATTATCAGCATTTTGGTCAAAGCCATTCAACAAGTCTCTATGGAGTTTCCAACTTTCCCACATTTTCCTGTCTTCTTCTGAGCCCTTCAAACTGTTCCAACCTCTGCCTGTTACCTGGTTCCAAAGTTGCTTCCACATTTTTGGGTATCTTTTCAGCAGCACCCCACTTGTGCTACCAATTTACTGTATTAGTTTGTTTTCATGCTGCTGATGAAGACATACCTGAGACTGGGCAATTTACAAGAGAAAGGTTTATTGGACTTACAGTTCCATGTGGCTGGGGAGGCCTCATAATCATGGTGGAAGGTAAAAGGCACATCTCACATGGTGGCAGACAAGAGAAGAGAAATCTTGTGCAGGGAAACTCCCCCTTACAGAACCCTCACATCTTGTGAGACTTATTCACTATCACAAGAACAGCAGAGGAAAGACCTGCCTGCATGATTCAATTACCTCCCACTGGATCCCTCCCACAACATATGGGAATTCAAATGAGATTTGGGTGCGGACATAGCCAAACCATATCATATGCTATTATTTATTTATATTTACTTATTTTTTATCTTCCAACTTTTATTTTAGACTCAGGGAATACATGTGCAGGTTTGCTACCTGCGTATATTACGTGATGCTGAGGTTTGATATATAAATGATCTTGTCACCCAGCTATGAGCATAGTATCCAATAGTTAAATTCCCCCCCTCTAGTAGTCCCCAGCTTCTACTGTTGCCATCTTTATGTCCATGTGTATCCATTGTTTAGCTCCCACTTATAAGTGAGAATATGCGGTATTTGGTTTTCTGTTCCTTCATTAATTTGCCTAGGATTAGGGCTCCAGTTGCATCTGTATTGCTGCAAAGGACACAATTTCATTCTTTTTATGAATACATAATATTCCATGGTGTATTTGTACAACACTTGCTTTATCCTATCCACTGTCAACGGGCACTCAGGTTGATTCCATTTCTTTGCTATCATGAATAGTGCTCATGCTACCTTTTGTAATTTATCTTGTTAGAGACCTTTCAACAGTACCTATTTTCTCAAAAATGTCCAGATCCCCTTAAATGAAGTTATGCAAGATAAAGCTCATGTAAACCTCAAACAAACTTCAATATATGTATTACATTTGTGTTTCACAAATAAAGACAGTGAATACATGAGTAGCAGAGAGTTTAGTATGATGGAAGACACAAGATGAAGATAGCTGAAGCATTCTTTATATCATATTACATCATATAAAGAGGTCATATCAGCTCGTGTAAAATATTCCAAAGAATGATGCAACTAATAAAAACTTAATATAAGGAATCAACAAAGCAGAATTACACAGGGAAATTGGCTCTCAGTGCAAATGAGAAAAATATGTTCACAACTTTGGCTCTAAGGAAATGATTCTGCTTATGGGCTGAGGGAGAAGAATGAAACGAAGCAAACTTCAACACTCAGGACACAATTATTAACCTAAGACTTTTTACCATGTTGCTAAACTACCAAGGACTAATTTCCCCAAGATTAACACAGTTATCACAAAGGAGAAAAAAAGCAGATTAGGGAAGAATGGCGAGAAACTTCTAGAAAGGAAAAAATGTTTTTATCAGGCATATAAGATGGGTGGTGCTCTTCTCTTGCATAATATCCAGGCTGGTAGGATGTGCATAGGCAAGATGAGAGAGTATTTTTGGGAGTTCTAAGCTTGCTTCTACTGTGCTTTTAGGATCATCTAGATCTGCCTCTCAGAAAATGCAGAGAATCATGATACTACTTTAGTGTTCTTAAAAATAAAATCAAAGCATCTTAAAAACGCTACAGGAATGATTATCTGAGGGAAACAGAAAAGAACCAACAATGGCTTCTGCAAAATCCTAGGCACATGTTATAGTCTAAGCAGATTGCTACATAACATTGCTTCAATAAAATCTGCGAATCAAGAAATTTGTTGGCAGTGTGAGAGTTGACAGATTATAGCTTTCAGTTCATGTGCTCTACACTGAGAGGTCATCTTCCTTTTCCTTTGCAAGCTCTTCAGGTGTGACATAACACTAAAGTCTGGGCTTCAGCTGATCCCCTAACACACTGCACAGTCAGGTAACCATTGACCACACTGCATTATAAATTCATAGACCAAGATGACCAGAGATCTATAAAATATTTAAAAAGTAATTGTTTTATAAAAGGTCTATCTAAACAAATATTTTAATAGACTATCATTAAAAAACAAAATAAATATATTAATATCATCTGTATAACTTCCATTTGATAACGGAGTGCTTCTTTGCATGCCCAAATTTATGTTTTAATGGACCTGATAATTTTTGTTCCTTCTGGGAATCACAGGCTGTATGGTCACTTAGAGCAGTGGTCCCCATCCTTTGTGGCACCAGGGTGTGGTTTTGTGGAAGACAATTTTTACATGAATGGGGGTCAGGGGAAATGGTTTGGGGATGATTCAGGTGCTTACATTTATTGTGCACTTTATTTCTGTTATTATTACATTGTGATATATAATGAAATAATTATACAACTCACCATAATGTAGAATCAGTGGGAGCCCTGAGCTTGTTTTCCCACAACAAGATGGTGCCATCTCAGGGTGATGGGAGACAGTGACAGATCATCAGGCATTAGATTCTCATAAGGAGCGTGCAGTGTAGATCCCTTGCATGTGCAGTTTGGAAGGGTTTGCACTTCTATGAGAATCTAATGCTGCCACTGATCTGACAGGAGGGTGAGCTCAGAAGGTAATGCAAGCAATGGAGAGTGACTGGAAATACAGATGAAGCTTCACTCACTCACCTGCTGCTCACCTCTTGCTCTGCAGCCCAGTTCCTAACAGGTCATAGACCAGTACTAGTCCATGGCCCAGGAGTTGGAGAGCCTTGACTTACAGTACCATGTTGGGGCACATGGTTTCTACCAGGGTTCAGTATTGAGCCAGAAGAGCTGTGTCTCAAAAGAGGAGTTATGTTTGCTAGAGAAAATGATTTTGCTCCAAGCAAGATGTTTGTTTTCATTTAGAAATTTTTAAACATAACCATACTGCGTCTTTATTTTCCACACTCATACTTATGAGTTTCATTTGACCCATTTTGGCTAGGTGCAGAATCTTCTCTTGTTCTGGTCCCCATTCTAAATTGCAAGTCTATGGATTGTTCAATAATTTTATTAGAAATGAACATTAAAATGTGGCATATATTACCTCAAGAGTTTTAAAGGGTCCCACAAACATTGTGTCTCTCAGTGTTAACAGTGGCAGAAATGTTTCCTTTACTTTAAAGGTAATATTGCAACATGTCTCAAATATTGGACCTCAGAAATTTCACTAGGGTGGCAGACCTTTCAATTTTTGTGAAGGCTATTTCTAACCGCCTTTTTTATTCCAACTTTACTGAAGTATAATTGACAAAAAGCATATATTTAAGATGTACAACTTGATATTTTAATATCTATATATACTGAAATAATCACCACAATTAAACTAATTAAGATACTCATCATCTCACATAGTTACCTTTTGTGTGAGTGTGGTGAGAACACCTAAGATCTTAACAAACTTCAAGTATACATTACAGTATTATTGACTATAGTCAAATTGTTGTACATTAGAGCTCCAGTATTTATTCTTGTTTTTGTTTTTGTTTTTAACAGTGTCAGCTCTGTTGTCCAGGCTGGTGTATGGCGTGATCTCTGCTCACTGCAACCTCTGCCTCCCAGGTTCAAGTGATTCTTGTGCCTCAGCCACCCAAGTAGCTGGGATTACAGGTGTGCACAACCACACCCAGCTAAGTTTTGTATTTTTTAGTAGACATGGGTTTTCACTATGTTGGCCAGGCTGATCTCGAACTCCTGGCCTCAAGTGGCCCACCCACATCAGCCTCCCAAGTGCTGGGATTACAGGTGTGAGCCACTGCACCTGGCCTTATTAATCTTCTATAACAGAAATTTTTAACCCTTTCACCAATACGCTCCCATTTTTCTCTCCCCCCAGCACATCGCAGCAACCATTCTACTCCCTGTTTCTATGAGTTCGACTATTTTGCATTTTACATATAAGTGAGATCATGCATTATTTGTCTATGTCTGGCTTGTTTCACTTAACATAATGTCCTCTGGTTCATTCACATTATCACAAATGGCAGGATTTCCCCTTTTGAAGATTGAATGATATTCTATTGTGTGTGTGTATACAAATGAATGAATAATATTTTATTGTGTGTATATACAAATGAATAAATAAGGAAAATGGTGTGTGTGTGTATGAATGGAACCACAAAATTCTAAATAGCCAAAACAATCTTTAATAATAACAAAGCTAGAGGCACCACAATTGTTGATTTCAAAATATATTACAAAGCTTTAATAATCTAAACAGTGTGGAACTGGCATAAAAACAAGACATGTAGACCAATGGAACAGAATAGAGAGCCAGAAATAAATCCACACATCTATGGTCAACTGATGTTTGACAACGGTGCCAAGAACACACAATGGAGAAATGATAGTCTTCAATAAATGGTCTAGGAAAACTGCATATCTACATGCATAAATTGCACCCTTATCTTTTGTATATTAACCCACATCACATACAAAAATAAATAAACTCAAAATGGATTAAAGGCTTAAATGAATTAATTTCAAACAGAGCAGACTTCAGTGCAAGGAAAATTGTCAAGGGTAGAGTTAATAAATAGTACTAAAATGATCAATTCCCCAAGAAGACATAATCCTTAATGTGTATGTACCTAGTAAAGTGTCAAAATACATGAGACAGAAACTGAAAGAACTATGAGGGAGATACATAAATGCACCCCTCTGTTAGTAATGGATGGGAGCGAATCACAATCCTCAAAGACACAATCTCAAACTCCATAATCCTGACTGTTGAAATCCCAGAGGGTCAAAATCCTTAAATGAAGTCTAGAAAATTATAATCCTGAAAGATCAAAATCCCAAAAATATAATTCTGGAAAAAATAACTTAAAATTTTTAAAGAAGATATTTATTTACATTTTTAAAGGAGATTTATTTAAGAAACATGAAAACACGACAGAATGCATTATAGGCCAGTTTATGCAATAAAATAGGCAATAAGATACATATTTTTGCAAACATGAACACTCAAGTATACTAATGACAGTTGCGTGGGTATAACAGTTTTGAACTGACAAGTTGTGTTCAGAAAGAAATAGGTCAAAAAGCAAAATGTATAAACGCATGTCACTATGGTTGGTAATTGTGTGTACACCGAAATTTATAACTTCAGTCATATTAAATATTGTAATGGAAAACCTAAGTCTTTTGGCAAGATCAAGCAAAAACCCTGGGAGTGACACGTTGCATCATTATACCAGTCATCCAAGAAGCTACGACCTCAAGAAATGTTATCTCTCACAAATGCAGATGTGCAAAAGGACTTCTTGTAATTTACTGAGGAAGTTTCAATGTTTTTTATGTACACTCAAAATGCTTAAACATAAAGTCAATGTTGTTATAATGCACTTTCAAAAACTCAAATTTGCAAAAAATGCATAAAATAAATTAGAACTATTTAAAAGTCTTTACACAATTTATTCCTCCAGTATTGGGAATGAAGATGAAATACACAGTATAGTTATTGTAAAAAATAATGCTGACAATATAAAATAGTGGAAAAAATTAAAACAAGAAAAACAAAGGAGAAGAAATGCAAAAAAAACTAAAAAGAATATTTGACATATGAAAAAGTGTATTACAGGACTAAGTTGTGGGCAGTTGCCCAGAGGTAATCCATAAAAGCTGGCCAACTTTGATTATCGTTAACTATTTTTTGAAGCCTTGCATCGTGTTGAATAGCTGCTTTTGTTCTTTTAGAGCATGGCTTTCCTTGGAGACTATGTTCACATTCATAGTCTACATGGCATTGGTCTTTTTGAAATTCTTCTGTGATTCTATATACTTTGACGTGA
Organism: Homo sapiens; assembly: GCF_000001405.40. Taxonomy (NCBI): domain Eukaryota; kingdom Metazoa; phylum Chordata; class Mammalia; order Primates; family Hominidae; genus Homo; species Homo sapiens. Next base: position 144,164,675 of record NC_000007.14, on the reverse strand, counting down.
GCATTCCCAATTAAATGTTTCTATTTTCTGTGGCATGCTTCTTTGTTGTTCTGGTTATGCTAAAATCCATTTTGCATGCACTCATATACTGACCATGAATTTCTCAGCAAAAATACTGGTGATTGAACAGCAATTCCATTGCATACATGTCTTCTAATCTACTGCGCTTATAATTATTTTCAAATTAGTCGTTAACTTTGCTGGCTTCTTCAGACAAATGTGTCCTTAATTCAATAAAAACTTCTGGAATTTCATCAGCTGGGAGAAATGCTAATGCAGACAAATGACATATTTTTAAACAAAAGCTTTTTCGGGTCTGTATCACGTGGCCAGTCCACTCATCTGAGTTTTCCACCAAATGCAAATGAAGACAATACCAAGGTAATAATTTTGCCTAACATGATGCAACTATCAGGATGCAACTATCCTGCATACATCTGAATATGCACTGACCTCTTCCCCAGAATTCAGGTTTTCATAATTCAGAATTTTAATATATTAAGATTGTGATTTTTGGGATTTTAGACATTAGCTATTTTAGACGTTGGAGATTTTGATCTTTTGGCATTTCAACATTTGAAATTATAGTGTTTGGGATTTTTGTCTTTCAGGATTATAATCCAAATCTATAATGGACAGTTCCAGCAGGCAGAAAATTAGTAGGAATACAGCTGAACTGAATAGCACCATGAATCAACTAGACCTAACTGAAATGTACAGATTACTTCATCTAGCAATAAGAGAACACACATTTTTTAAGTTCACATAAAACATTCAACAATGTAGACCATATTCAGAGCCACAAAACACACCTTACCAAAAGTAAAAGAATAGAAATTATACAAAGTATGCTCTCATGCCACAGTGGAATTAAGCTGGTTATCAATAACAGAAAGACATCAGGAAAATCCCAATAATTGGAAATTTTAACAAAACGTTTCTTAAAAAAATGCCTGGGTCAAAGAAATCTCAAGAGATATTTACAATATTGTTAAAATAAAAATACAATTTATATAAAAACTTGTGTGATGAAGTAAAGCAGTGCTTAAAGAGAAACTTATAGCATTCAATGCATACATTAGAAGAAAGAAAATCAATAATCTACGCTTCTACGTAAGTTTCCATTTTGAGAAACTAAAAAGGAAAAGCAAATTAGTGCAAAGAACAAAAAAGGCAATAATAAACATCAGAGCAAAAATCAATGAAATTGAAAACAGAAAAATCAATAGAGAAGATCAGTACAATTGATAGCCCTCTAGCCACATTAACTAAGAAACAAAGAAAGAAGACATAAATTACTAATACAGAGTTGAAGAAGTGGCCATTATTGATCCCATGGTCATTAACAGGATAATAAAGGTATATTTTGAACAATTCTATGCTTAAAAATATGATTAACTAGATAATGTAGAACTATTCTTTGAAAGGCAAAATCCATCAAAATTCACAAAAGGTGAAATAGATAATCTGAATAAGCTGACATCTATTAAAGAAATTGAATCAAGAATTAATAACTTTCCCGAACAAAAAGTACAAGGCCCTGATGGCTTCACTGGTGAATTCTAAACATTTAGGGAAGAAATCATACCAATTCTATACAATCTGTTCCAAGAAATGAAAGTAGACTGAATATTCCCCAACTAATTCTAGGAGGCCAGTATTACCATAATACCAAAACTAGACAACACATTACAAGTAGGGAAAACTACAGAGCAATACCACTCAAGAACATATGTGCAAATGTCCTCAGCAAAATATTACCAAATAGAGTTTTATAATGTATACTGATCATAATACTGATATTACAATGATCATAATGCATTATGATCAAGTGAGATTTATATGGTATGCAAGGTTGAGTCAACATTCAAAAATCAATTAATGTAATCCATCAAATAAACAGGTTAAAGAAGAAAAATCTATAATCATATCAATTGATGCAAAGAGAGGATTTGACAAATTTTAACACACGTTCATTATGAAGAAAATCTCTAAGCAAAGTAAGGATAGGGTAGAACTTTCTCAACTTTATAAAGAAGATCTACAAATAACCTACAGGTAACATATGTCATAAGAAGAAATTAATACTTTACACTAAAATCAGGAACATGGCAAGTGTGTCTCTTTTACCACTTCTATTCAACATTGTATGGTAAGTCCTTGCTAATGCAGTAAGAAAATAAAAGGAAATAAAAAGTATGCAGATTGGGGAAGAAGAAATAAAATTGCTTTTCTTCACAGGTGACATGACTATTCATGTAGAAAATCCCCCCAAATTATCAAAAATACTTCTGAAATTAATAAACTATATAGCAAGGTTGTGTTGTAGGATATAAGGTTAACATACAAATTGCTTTCTTACACCAGAAATGAGCAATTGGAACTTGAAATTAAAAAATATTATTCCATTTACATTAGCACTAAAAAATAAGTACTTAGGTATACATCTAACAAAATATGTACAAGATCTATACAAAGGGAACTGAAAAACTTCGATGAAAGAAATCAAAGAAGATCTAAATAATGGAGAGATATTCCATGCACATAGGAAATCTCACTTATTGTCAAGATTTCAGGAACTTCTAAATTTACCTATAGGTTCAATACAACCCCAATCAAATTTTAACAAGTTATTTGTGGATACGACAAACTGATTTTACAGTTTATATGGAAAGACAAAAGACCCAGAGTAGCCACACAACGTTGAAAAAGAGGAATAAAGATGAATGACTGACATTATCTGATGTGGTTTGGTTGTGTCCCCACCCAAAATCTCACCTTGAATTATAAATAATCCCCACCTGTCAAAGGAGAGACCAGGTGACAGTAATTGAATCATGGGGGCGGTTTCCTCCATGCTGTTCTTGTGATGATGAGTGGATTCTCATGAGATCTGATGGTTTTATAAGTGTTTGGTAGTTCCTCCTGCATTCATTCTCCTTCCTGCTGCCTGTGAAGAAGGTGCCTTGCTTCCCTTTTGCCTTCTGCCATTTTTGTAAGTTTCCTGAGGCCTCCTTAGCCATGCTGAGCTGAGAATCAATTGAACTTCTTTCTCTTATAAATTGCCCAATCTCGGGCAGTTCTTTATAGCAGTGTGAAAATGGACGAATACACTATCCAACTTCAAGCCTTTTTATAAAGCTGCAGTAATTACAGCTGTGTCATATTGGCCAAAGAATAGATAAATAGATCAAAAGAATAGAAGAGAGAGCCCCTAAAAAATTCCAAACAATTATAGTCAACTGATCTTAGACAAAGGAGCAGTGGAAATTTAATGGAAAAAAGCTAATATTTTCAGTAAATGATGCTGGGATAACTGAACATGCAAAAATACAAAAAACAAACAAACAAAAGCCCCAAACCTGAACAGAGATACTACATTTTATGCAGTTAACTCAGCTGGATCATAGACTTACATGTTAAGTGCAAAATTATAAAATCCTTAGAGGAAAACAGAAGACTTTACAGGTGACCTTGTGATTGGCAATGCCTCTTTGGATTAAAAGAATAATCCATCAAAAAACAAATTGATAGGTTGAACTTCATTAAAACTGAAGTTTAAAAAAATGAAAAGATAAGCCACAGACTAGAAGAAATATTTACAAAACAAATATAAAAAAATAACTTGTAGAAAATATACAAGTAACTCTTAATACTCAACAATGAGCAAAAAAGCATTAAAAAAGTGGACAAAATATGTGAAGAGACACCTCACCAAAGAAGATATACAGATGGCAAGAAAGCACATGGAAATATTCTCAACATCATCTGTCATCAGAAAATTTCATATTCAAGTAAGAATGAAATACCCTTGTATACCTATTAAAATGTTGAAAATTTAAAACACTGACAAAACTAAATACTGGTAAGGATATGGAGCAACAGGAACTCTCCTTCATTGCAGGTGGGAATACAAATTGTACAGCCACTTTGGTAGACTGTTTGGAAATTTCCTATAAAACTAAGTGCATACTTCCCACATAACCCAGCATATTGCTTTCCTTGGTATTTAACCAAATGAGTTAAAAACTTATGCTAACCCAAAACCTATATACAAATGTTTATAGCATCTGTATTCATAATTGTTAAACCCCAGAAGTATCTAAGATGTATTTCAATAGGTGAATGGAAAAACAAACTATGGTACTGATAGAGTTTGGATATTGTTCCTTTTAAGTCTCATTTCAAAATGGAGTCCCCAGTGTTGGAGTTGGGGAGTGGTAGGAGGTCATTGAATCATGAGGCAGATTTCTCATGAATGGCTTAGTGCCATCTCCTTGGTGCTGTCCTCATAATAATGAGATAGTTCTCACAAGACCTGGCTTTTAAAAGTGTGTGACACCTCCCCTCTCTTGCTCCCACTCTCATCATTAAGATGTCTGCTCACCCTTCACCTTCTGCCACGATAGTAAGCCTCCTGAGGCTCTCACCAGGAGCAGACACCAGCACCTCTCTTCTTGTGCTGTCTGCAGAATTATGAGCCAATCAAACCTCTTTTCTTTATAAATTACCCAGCCTCAGGAATTTCTTTATAGCAATACAAGAACAGCCTAATTCAGGCATATGCAGATAACAGCATATTCTGTGATAAAAAGTAGTGAGTTACCAAGCCACAAAAAGACATGGAAGAACCTTAGTTAGTACAGCATGTTTCTCAGAAAGGAGCCATTCTTAAAGGGCTATATACTGTATGATCTCAACTAAATAATTTGGAAAAGGCAAAACTATATAACTACTAAAAAGATTACTGGTTCCAGGAGTTTTGGAGGAGGGAGAGCGAGATAAATAGGTAGAGCACAGGGGATTTTTAGGGCAGTGAAACTATTCTATATGCTGTAATATTGGATACATGACATTATATATTTGTTAAAACCTTTAGAATGTACAACACAAACAGTGGACCCTAATGTAAGCTATGAGCTATATTTAATGTTAATGTACAAATATTGACCAACCAGTTGTAATAACTGTACCACACATAAGGCATGATATTAATTATAGGGGACACAATTTGTGTGGAGAGGGTTTAGAGGGTATATGTAACTCTTAGCACTTAATTTTTCTGTAAACTTAAAACTACACTAAAAATAATAAAATAAAATTAATAAAATAAAAATAAAATTGCACTAAAAACTAATGGATTAGTTAAATCCATTAATTTATTAATAGATAAAAGGAAATTAGTAGATAAAAGGAAATTGAGACAATAGAACACCAACTTAAATCTCAGTTATTACTATTGAAGTTTATAATAAAGAGAATACTTTAAAAAATAAATGCTTTAGCTGATGACTATAGAAAAGCCACCTTTACTGATTGTACCATCATTAGCATAATGAGTGTTGCTCAATCTTGTTTCACAAATCCAAAGAACTTTTTACCAACATGAAAGGCAGACGATGTTGGTTATATCAGAGTTGTTTCATATCTCTTGGTGTTATCACAACCCACCTTAAGAAAAATTGAATATTACCCAAGATCCCCTACAGGTGACTCAATCTTGCCATATTGGTAATTACCATAACCATGAATAAATGTAAAATTAGAGCCACGCTTAGAACTCTTGCCTTCCAGACCATTTAAACATTTTCAAATGGATTTCATTCAGTTGGTCATATCATACAGCTTGAAATATACAATTGTCTATCTATTTTCTATCTATCTATTTCCTTCCTTCCTTCCTTCCTTCCTTCCTTCTTTCCTTCTCTCCTTTTCTCTTTCCCTCCCTCCCTTCCCCCTCCCTCCCTCCCTCTCTCCCTCTCTCCCTCTCTCTCTCTTTCTCTCTTTCTTTTTTTCTTTCTCTCTCTCTCTTTCTTTCTTCTCATTGAAGTTTTCCACAATGTTTTCTTGTTTACTTTTCTGAATTATTCCCAAAAGGAATTTATAATTTCTCAGTCATTTATTTCATTGTCCTCATAATCAGTGAAGTAGGAACACATTGCTCTACATTACTGTTTATTAAAGTTCTGGTTTCTCTTGGAAGTTTTTTCTCTTAATATTGATTTTAATCTACCGTTTTTAGCTGCTACCAGGTAATGGTAGGAGTTACATATGTCCTGATTGATCAGCGAAGAGTAATGTGTTGATGTAACTTTCTGTTGGATAGTATACTCACTTCCTGGGTGATGGGTTCTATCTCACACCAAATTTCAGCATCACATGATATAACCATGTAACAAACCTGCACATGTACCCCCTGAATCTAAAACAAAAGTTGAAATTATAAAATAATAATTATTTTATCTCCATGTAGTCCTATTTCTGATTTTTTAAAATATGTCATTATTTTAAACAAAAAATTAGATATTCTAACATAGCTATTCTGTATCCTAACAAGGCTACTTAATATAAGAAGATGGGCATACCCATGAAATTTGTTCCCATTTTCAGGGCCAAAATCTAGATAATTTTCATTCTTAAATGAAGCCTCTTCTTGTGGACTTTTTCTGAGTTGTATTGCACAAGCAAACCACATCTCATAAAGGTAGATCAACTGAACCAAAATTCTCCCCTCATTCACATGGTCCTCTTTTTCTGCAGTGCTCTGTATAAGGCACCCTTCACTTGAGCATTCCGCAGGCTGTAGATGAGGGGGTTCAGCAATGGGTTGAAAAGGCTGTAAAACAGGGTGAGAATTTTCTGCTGCTTCTGTCGTTGACTGTTGTCTGGGACCAGGTAAACCACCATGGCCATGCCAAAGTAAAGCCCAACCACACAGAGGTGGGAGGAGCAGGTGGAAAAGGCTTTTTTGCGGCCCTCCTTTGACTGGATCTTCAGGATGGCCAAGAGGATGCGCATGTAGGAGATCAGCATCAAGGAAAGGGGCCCGACTAAGACAAACACACCACCAGCAAAGACAAAAATTTCATTAATCCAGGTGTCTGCACAGGCCAGTTTGAGGACAGACAGAATTTCACCGAAGAAGTGGTTCACCTCCTGGGGCCCACAGAAGGGCAGCCTTAGAAGGAGAATTAGATTTATGAGGGCCAGGGAAAATCCACATGCCCAGGAAGTAATAGCCAGTACTGTGCACACTCTCCAGTTCATGATGACAGTGTAATGCAGGGGATGGCAGATCGCCACAAATCTGTCATAGGACATCACCACCAAAATCATGCACACTGCAGCAGCAAAAGTCAAATACAAAGCCATCTGCATAATGCAAGAGATGAACGAGATAGTTTTTTTTGTGTTTCACTAGGTTTTCCAGCATGTTGAGCAAATTGCTGGAAGCATAGTATATGTCAATGACGGCCAAGTGTGACAGGAAGAAGTACATGGGGGTGCGCAGTCTGGGATCCAGACAGATGAGCCCCAAGATCATGCCATTTGCCAGCAGGCTGAAGAGATATAACAGGGAGAAGATCCAGAAGAGGAGCACTTCCATCTCCACACTGAGCTGGAATCCAACCAGGATGAATTCTGTGACCCGTGATTGGTTGTCCCCCATTCCTTAATGATACTTTGTAAAGGACCAGAGTGTGATGAAAGGTCAGGGTTGGAGAATCAAAGAAAATGAGTTATTTATTTCAAAATGAGCTCAGAGGAAGCATGTATATATTTGTGCCTACTTGACTCACCTTTTCCCTCAGTGTTTCTTTCTGTTTTTGTTTTTAACTTTTTATTGTAAAGTAATTCAAACCTTCAGATAAGTACCAAGAATTAGAAACAATACTCTCATACACATTTCATCTAGATTCAACAATTGTTAATAATTTTTTTCATATTTGCTTGTGTTCTCTTTTTGTCTATATTAATATATATTATTATTTTTTCTGGGACACTTAAGACTACTGTGTATCCATGATACCCGTTTACTCCTAAGTTCTCTATTTTATCCAAGAACAAAGGTATTCACTTATCTAACCACAGTACTATTATCAAAATCAGGAAATGTGATCTTGACATAATATTCTTTTCTAAATAGAGCATCTTCTGTCCTTCCTGTTCAAGATGTGATGCAATATCCCACAGTTAATCTATTCTGATCTGGCACTCTCCCTCTGTCTAGACATTAATATTTTTGAAAAGTACAAACAAGTTGTTTCACAGAATGTTCTCAAAATGAATGGGTTTTCTATTGACCCTCCATATTTTTATCCAGACTTTAAATTTTTAACAGGAGATGAATCTATGTGTCCATCTCAATGCCTTCTATTAGTAGGCAGATAATGTTAATTTGCTCCAATATTGAAATCGTCTATCTCCATTATAAAATTATCCTTTTTTTCTAGTATAATTTCTGGGAAATATATTAAAACTAATATATACATATCTTGTTTTTATTAAATTCTCAGCCACTCATTAAAGCATCTATTGATTATCTTACCTGACTCCATTATAAGTAATGATGTTTGCAAAATGTGTCATTCTAACTCCCTCATTCCTTTTATATTTATTAGTTGGCTTTACTGTGAGAATGAGCTTGATCTATCTGCCTATCTGCCTATTTTCTTTCTTTCTTTCCTTTCTTTCTTTCTTTCTTTCTTTCTTTCTTTCTCTTTTTTCTTTCTTTCTTTCTTTCTTTCTTTCTTTCTTCCTTTCTTTCTTTCTTCTTTCTCTCTTTTTTTTCTTCTTTCTTTTTCTTTCTTTCTATTTATCTGTCAATCAATTAATGTGGACACATGGAATTTTTAATTCAATGGGTTATAACCATTACTGTCTAGCAAACTAACAAAAAATCAGATATAGTACCCTGGAAGAAACTAGTTATTGGTAAAAAGCCTCTGACTTAGCAATCAGGGCATCATACTCTCATTCACCTTTCCTATGACATTGTCCTACGTTTAGATTTTCAGCTTTGACATGCTGACTCTGAGAGGTTAATTGGTCATTGGCTAATTGGTCATTGGTCCTGTTTTAATATACTTCCATCAAACCTGGGATAAAATCCACTGATTACAGCTTTATGGGACATTTTACTATTTCTTACTGCCCAGGATCTAGACACTTTCTGTGAAAGTCGTTATCTCAAAACCCACCATTCAGGATTTCCTTCCTAGACATCCTTTTACCTATATAATTAAGAGCAAATTATATGTCTTTTATTTTGCATCTATTATTTTATTCTTAATTTCAGTTCATGGCCCATGAAGAACTCCTGTTTCCTAGATAAGTGACATCTGGAATGACTTGATTTTTCAGATCCACATCATCCATTACACAGAGATATCTTTACCTATACAGTCATTACAGTGTAAACAACATTTTAATATATCAATGCCATAGCTTTAAAATACATAATATTGCATAACTGTGATGTTATTTTTATTGCTCATAGTCAAAGTATATTTTCTACAGAACTAACATATTCCCAGATAAATATG